>NC_000015.10:93562490-93714005 GCF_000001405.40 Homo sapiens
GGGGTTTCATTGTGAAGGCCTCTGGTGCAGCAACAGCTGGGCTATCCAAGGGGTTGCTATGATGAATGGAAACATGCAGGGCAGCGAAGGCTGGAGGGCCAGATAATGGATGTCCAGTTTTACAGGATGTACTCATGTTAACAGTTCCATTGCTAACTAGTTAAAGATCAGCCTTATGAAAAATGACTTCCCACTTCCAGCCTCCAAGGAACATAAAACTGTGCAAAGACAGATGAGATGATGCTTTGAGTAATCCTTAATGAAACTGATTTGAGAAATAAAACCATTTGTCTCTCCCATTCGACTGCCTCTTGTTATGTAAAATCGCTGTGTAATCATCTTAAACCAGAATGGACTGGAGAGACTGAGGGACAGAAACTTCTGAGTCTTATGTTTCTGTCATCCACAGCTGCTCATCAATAAGAAAGAAGCAAATGTTGCAACAAGCACTTTCTCATGACAATACTGAACATTCACGCATAACTTGAGAAAAATCTTTCCACGGATTTGTGAGCACTTGTGCAATGCGTTTGGCCCAGTGATTCGCCTTGATCTAAAAAGTCAGGAGGCAAGTCTTTGGCAGAAACCTGTTGTTACCCTGAGTAAAGTAACTCTGGAGCTCAGCTCATTTCCAACTGTTTACTGTTCAGATTCTTGGTGGTCTTAATGCTTGGCACCTATGCTGTTGAATTTGCCAGTTTCACAATTCAATCGGTTATTAACACAGCCTAAACAACTGAAGATTTTAAACGTGGCCTGCTAGAGAAAACCCTGGATAAGGAGTCTGGCAATATTATTTTCTAGTTCTCTTTGTGACTTGGAAAATTCACTTCACTTCCTTACGCCCCACTTTAATCACCTGGAAACAAGGCTCACGTGGCTCACAGAAGTGCTTTGATCCAGAACACCAGCCGTTCCTTCTGCATGCCCTGTTCCTCCCTGCATGCCTGACTGTACTCCTGGCCTGTCCTCCCTGCACCACGCTTTCTACAAAAATCAATAGCATTTCGAGAGGCAGCACAGGTGCCAGTTTTGCCATACGAAAATTCCTGTTTTTCTCCCAGGTTCTTTGAAGGAAATGGTTTGTCTCCTTCAAGCTTGTTAACGTGTTATCTCTATTCTTTCATGGCAATATCCATGCTACTGCTTTGCACATTTTATTATTGTTCTCAAGAGCATACTAGCTGTGGGCTGGCTCTATTGCACCTTCATCTACCTGGTTGCCAGAGAAAGAAGCTTGCAAGTGTTTTTTTCCTGTCCATTTTTAGAGCCACGTTACAAGTGTTCTATGTGATTCATTTCACTTGCATCTGGTTTTCTTTCTGCTGTCCTTCCTTTTCCTCTGCCCTTAACTTTCCTCCCAAATCCCCGATCACAGTGCAATTTGCATAATGATTCCTAATTCCTTAGTTTTCTCTTGGACCCGTCTGTACCTTTCCAGCTCTATTGCTACTGACTGGTTTGTTCAGGCTCTTCTAATCATTATGGCTGGTGCAATTTTCTTCTAAGAGGCTTTTCCAGGCCTCCTGCTAACAATGATCTATAATGCCTCTGTAGATATTTTTATTTATTTATTTTTATTATTATTATTTTTTTGAAACAGGGTCTCACTCTGTCACCCAGGCTAGAGTGCAGTGGCACCGTCACAGCTCACTGTGGCCTCTAACTCCTGGACAAAAGCGATCCTCCCATCTCAGTCTCCTGCGTAGTGGAACTATAGGCACATGCCGCCACACCTGGCTTGTTATTTTTAGGAGAGACAAAATTTTGCCATGTTGCCTAGGCTGGTCTTGAACTCCTGAGCTCAAGCAATCCTCCTGCCTTAGCCTCCCAAAGTGCTAGGATGACAGGCGTGAGCCACCGTGTCCAGCCTGCAGTGATTTTTCTTAAAGCCCTTTCTTAAATCTCATCAGCTTGCTCCTGTTTAAAGTCTATCAGGGACCCTTTAGTGCCTGTCTGCAGGGCTGGCTCCAAAGGCGTGTAACATGAGCACTTGTATAGGACCCGTGGGCTTAGAAGGGCCCCATGCCTGGTTTATCGTTCTGTAGTCACTGTTTTGCGCTGAGATCTGCAGATTATGGAGTCAGTCCTGTATTTGGTGTAGCATCTGAGTCACATAAAGAGCCTTTACAACCATGTGGCCACCTCCCCTCATGCCCTAGTCACTGTTCTCTGATCCTAAGCCCTATGCTTTCCTGTTCCTTCCCATGTAGCTCTCCCCCAGTTGTGCCATTTGGTCTAGTTGGTGTTGTTCATGCAACAACAATTCAGTCCATGTTTCCTGTGTGCCACAGATTGTCACTGGGTAGTGGAAATACAGAGATGAGGGCAGAAACTTGATTTCACAGAAAAAACCAACTATATACACATAACTCCAATACAATATGGGAAATGCAATAAAAGAGAAATAACTGATAAGCCAGTTACACAAACATACACAATGTATGGCTTCTGTTTGTTTGATGTTTACCAAAATAGAATTATTGTATCTTACGGGTACCCATCTTTTACAGTCTTTCTACCGACTTTTGTAGGTTTTTCTCATTGTTTGCTCTTTAAAAACGACACACATCTTTATCTGCTTCTTTGTTTTCTTACTCAACAATTCCTTGTGCAAATTTCTCCTAAACCAATGATTAAAACAAAGTTTGGGATTATTTTAAGAATCTTCTTTTAATCATTTGTTTCTCTCATTAGAACAGCAAGCTTAAAGTTCATTTTCATTCGACTACTTTAGAAGGGAACATTAAATAGTAGCTGTTTTCCAACTTGAGCCTTTTGTGTATTAAAATTAAACATTCAGTTCTACCCTTGTACTTATTCTTTCAGTTAAGCAAACTAGCATATTATTTGGAAATTTTGTTATAAATGCTGGCTTTCCTTTACAATTTTTTTCTCAAAACATCTGTTTAGGGAGGAAACATGTAAATCGTAAGATAATTCCACAAATGATGTTCAGATGAAAACTTTTCCATCTCGGCCTAATTTTAGAGCCCTGCTACAAATATTCTGTTTAATTAATTTCACTTGCGTTTGGTTTCCTTTCTCCTGTCCTTATTTTCCTCTGCCCAGGGGCAGTCAGATTTTTCCTAATGTTTCCTCTCCTTCCTCTGTGTACCATAGGTCACTGTAGACTCCATGGTTCTCTCTCTGTGTTTGCCTGGATCTGCCTGCAAAAGTGCACTGCCCTCTCCTTTCCTCCTTAGCTAGGATGGCAGTTGGCAAATTGAGCCTGACATTTTCCTAGAGATGTGCAGAGGATGGCAGTTTTAATTTCATTTAAATTTTAGGAATTAAAAGTCCTTATTTTTCCCAGTCTGAGTTACTAATATCTTGGGTAAAACCTTATTTCTACTGGGTGCCTGGGGATGTATCAGGGGGCAGGATGAATCAGACAGCAGAATCTGTTTGAGGTTGAAAACAAAGCAGAGACTGAAAAGCCCGGAGACATTCTGGACCCTTATTTTCTGTTGCTCTTTCTTCTTCTGTCTGCGTGTTGAATGCCTTTATCCCCATCCCATCCTGCACCATGCCACAGATACACACATTCTAGTGGGAAGCGATTCTTTCAGATTCTTCAGACCTTCTCTCTAACCTCACTCCTCAACGCAGTTGTCTGGGATCATGTAGGCAAGAAAAATACTCGATGCTGTATTCTCTCCAAGACCTTCCTTTGTAGCACTATCCCAAACTGTTATTGCTGATTTATTTGAGAGAGTTCTTGGTTAATGTCTGTCTCTCTACTGGGCTGCATGCTTCTAGAAGACAGAGCCTACCATAGAGACCAAAATACATAAGGTCTCAGGAAATCAGTATTGCCCGACAGAAACTTCTGCAGCGATGGGCATGTTCTGTATTTGTGCTGTCCATTATCATAGCCATGGGCGACAAGTGGCTGTTGAGTATTCAAAATATGGTCAGTATGACTGAAGAATACAATTTTAAATTCTACTTAATTTTAATCCATTTAAATTTACATAGCCTCATGTTACTAGTGGCTTCCATATTGGGCAGGGCAGACTGAACTAGGTTAGTAGATGTGTGGATGGAGGAAATCCAAGGAAGTAAGTACCTGGGTATGGGATTAAAGGAGAGTCAAAGTCATCACTGGGACTATTTTTGCATTTTTTTTATTCTCAACATACACCACCACCCCTCCCCGCCCCTCCGTCCCCCAACACACACACCAGCTTGCTCCACTGGCTGGATTGGGTTGAATTCAAGAGGTGGAAATTTGTAGCCTCCCTTATTGGCTCTGATGTCTTTGCTCTCAACCAGAGAAAACACTATTGCCGTTGTACAGGGTGTGGTCATTCCCAGCCCTGTTTCACCCTTACACGTGATCCTGTCTTCCTCTGGGTGCAATGAGGTCGTCATCAGTCTAAGTATGTTGGAGTGGTCCCCTGAGTCAACAGGAAGTGGCAAATCCTTGCTGAGTGAGTTCCCTGAACTGGGAGGATATCCTGAACATGCTATAACCTGAGAAAGCACATGTTTATCTTGCAGCATAAAAGCCCTCTGTTGGCCATACAGTGCTTGTTAATCCAGGGCTCTCTGTAAGCCTGACTCAGTAGGTGGTAAGTAAAGAAATGAATTTACTGTCCCTGTTCCTGTAACTCATGCTGACTGTGCACATGCCTCAACTGGAGGCTGGTTTTTGCTTTTCCAAGGGGCATGTTTCTAAGGAGACATTTATCTGTGTGTATCAAAGAATCATTTGCCTTGGATGACATCACTGGTCACAGCCCATTCTGCTCAGTTCCTTATTTAAAGGAGCCAAGTCTGAAAGGCCTGGCTTAGAAAGTTTCTACCTTCAATAGTTGTGTCAACGGGAGAGCCTCAGCATGCTGTTCTGAATGGAGGGCCAGGTGCAACGTGTACATGCAGACCCAGAAGATAAAAGTTGGGCCTACAAATGCACTCCTTCTGCAGATGAGATGCCAGTCTCACCAGGCCACCTGGGAGCGAAAGGGCTTTCTGACCTTCATGAAAACCCAACACAAATATCTCAAGAACTTTTTCAAAATATCTATTTTCCTGCTGCTCTCCTGCTGGTTCAATCTCGGGAGCTTAAGTAGCTGTGATTGTCCCTGGGAAATCTGCTTTTTAGTATAACTTATTTGGATGGAAAAAAAGCCATCATCTATTTAAAGTTTACATGCACTTGCCCCTTTGATCCAGCAATTCTACTTCTAATAGTTATAGAAATACTTGCATATTTAAGAATAGATATATATGGTTATTCATTAGTGTGAAAAATTTGAACCAAGAAAAATGCCATTAATAAATCAGGATGCAATAAATCAAGGTGTGCAGATGGAAATGGCAGAAGTTGCCTGCTCACTTCCGTTTCCCATTCTACTTTTTTTTATTTTCTAATCTTAATTTCTTGAGTATTCATAATAAAATATGGCTTTATTCAAACAAAGATTGATAAGCATCGTGGTGAATAATATCAATAATATTTGAAATATTATCAAATTTATTTTTCATTTATTGATGTAAAGGCTCTGATATGGTTTGGCTCTGTGTCCTCACCCAAATCTCATCTTGAATTGTAATCCCCACATGTCGAGAGAGAGAGGTGATTGGATCAAGGAGGTGGCTTCCCCTCTGCTGTCCTTGCGATGGTGAGTTCTCATGAGATTTGATGGTTTTATAAGGGGCTTTCCCCAATTTGCTGTCACTTCTCTCTCCTGCCATCATGTGAAGAAAGTCCTTGCTTCCCCTTCGCCTTAACTATGATTGTAAAGTTTCCTCAGGCCTCCCAAGCCATGTGGAACTGTGAGTCAATTAAACCTCTTTCCTTTATAAATGACCCAGTTTTGGGTAGTATCTTAACAGCAGTGTGAAAACAGACTAATACAGGGTTTAAGCTGGGGACCGGGTTAAAGGAATGACCATCACTAATGCTAACCAAGGCAGGGTTTAATGAGTGAGGCAAGATTATTGAGGCCTCTCAAGAAAAATACAATATATTTTCTGTACCAGCAGACCGGACTGAGAAAAGGGGACTGGAAGAATCTGTAACAGACCACATTTTAAACTTGAATTTGACTTAGTAATGAGAACTAATTATGAAGAATGAGCTTGTTTGAACTGGAAAGGGCTAATACTTTAAAGTCTTGAGTAAGGAGGGTTTCATTTTGGTTTTGATTTTGTCCTCAGAAAAACTGGGGATCCAGGGCTAATTGAGTTCACTTTTTAAAAAATAATGTGACATTTCGGCATACTAAGTGTCTACTGCCATGGGTGACAGCAAGGGCAGAGAGGACATCTATGCAGTGGCCACCCTGGATTGCCACCAGATTCTGCCTTTTCACTTTCTCAGCCCAGGGCACCTCCAGGCAGTGAAGTCACTGGTAACAAGACAGCAGGAACATGAGCACACAGATAGGGGCAGATAAGGGATTCTTTATACACCTGTGGCCATGGAACCAGAGGAAGAAAGAGCAGGTCTGCTCTTGGTCATGTGCAATCTCGATTCAATAATTTTATACAAAACATAGATTCTTTCCGTCATGAGCTCATTCTTTGCGTGGCATAATTTCCGGACTCCTCCGAGGTAGACGAGCCATGTGACAAATGTCTCTACAGTGCTGATTCTTGCATTTTCATGCAATTCACACCTTTTATAATATTACCATCAAAAGGTGAGGGTAGGAGTGTCTGGGCCACTGGGAAATCTTCAGGCTACTTGATCAAAACCCCATTGTGTGCTAGGTGCCCCTTCCGCCACCAGGAGTTGAAATTATGCCAATTGTTCCTTATGTCTGCAGCTTTGTCTGTCTCTTGTGATCTGTACATTTGCCTACATTTTATTTCTATTAACATATTTTGTTACACTTCCTCCATCTTTTTCAACAGATGCCCTCTTCTGAACAATCCTGCCAACCTAATATTGTACATTTGCATTGTAACTAAGATTTTGACTCCCTTACTTTCAGAACAAATGGAGAGACCTCGTTCAGTCGATGGATGGTAGCAACAAGGAAGAAAGCAAATGGAGAAATGACATCTCATGACCCAGGTAATTTATGGGATTACATGATATAAGAATTAATGCTGGAAAGAACCTTGCAGATTACCTGCTCCAACTCTCACATTTTCATTTGAATAAATTAAGAATCTTAAATGACCTTCCCAATATCACATAGGTAGAGTTGAAAC
Organism: Homo sapiens; assembly: GCF_000001405.40. Classification (NCBI taxonomy): domain Eukaryota; kingdom Metazoa; phylum Chordata; class Mammalia; order Primates; family Hominidae; genus Homo; species Homo sapiens. Next base: position 93,569,661 of record NC_000015.10, read on the forward strand.
TCAAGTGAAACCAACAGAACTCATTTCTAGAAAGTTCAAATAAGATGTTCACAGCAATCTTTGGAATCAACAATAAAATAAGCCTCTGAACTGAAATTTGAAATGAAGTCAGGGCATTGGGCTTCTTTGCAGACTATTAGGAATGCAAAATACTAAAATTAATTTAGGCAAAATCATAGCAGCATTTTAATTTTACAAGCTGATTTATCCAAGCATTTTGGTGTAAATCCTCATTTAGTATTCATGACAACTTTATGAAGCCTGAATTATTATTCTGATTTTGCAGTTTAATTATTCTAGGTGCAGAGAGGTTAACTGGCTTTTGCATTAACAGGGCGGTAAATGTTAAAATAAGGGCTCAAATACAAGTCACATCACTCTGAAGGCAGCGCCAGCCAGCGCCCAAACAGTAAAGGCACTTCTAATTCATATCAGAGATATATCTCCTAAAGTTTCCAGAAGAATCGAATCACTGACCATCTTCCTGCTTTGGTGAGGCTTATTTCAGGGTTCACTGGCCCTCATTATTGGTGTGATCCCAGTTATTAAAGGGACCAGAGAGCTATCATGACACAGCATGCTTCCCCCAACAGTTATACTTGAAGTGTCAACAATGATAAAGGAAGCTAAGCATAGGGTGATACTATATTAGTGTTTTTTTTTTAAATAGCCCCTCTTTCTGGCATCTTTATTTATAATAATTAAATTTGAATTGGATTTTGACTGCTCATTCAGCCAAAATTACGGAATTGATTATGCATTTGAAAAGGGAAGGCATAAATAATGCAAAAATTATTCTGTAATTATAGGCAATTGACAAGGATTCAGGGGATGTGTTTAAACCTCTTTACCCAGCATCCAGAAGCAGCTGACTGCCCCTTTTTTTCTCCTTTTAGGGTATTTCTATAATCTTTTTTCCCATGTTAGAATGATTTAATTTTGCATGCATTTTTGCTCATGATGTTTCCGGGTTGATGCCAACCATGTATGCCAGAGACAAAAAGAAACGTGCTTCTTTGCTGGAGTTGTATAGGTTGTTCCTCAAAATGTTGGATTCCTGTAGAATTGGAAACTTAACGGTGATTTGTTGTGGTTTATGGTTTTACGGGCACAGAGCCAGAAGAGACCCTGGAGGCCATCCAGCGGTACCATTTTATGTCGTAGTGGATGGAACGAAGACTCCAAGAGATTAATTGAGATAGCCTGGAGTTTCCTGGCAATTTCCTTGAGAAATAATGATACTTAGTGGCAGAAGTGAGTCCAAAATACATTTGTGCAGGTCCAAGTCATGCAGTTTTCCCCACCATACCCCACTGCCTCTGGTTACAAGTTTTCATGTGCCCTCCATTCCTGACATGCTGTAATATCTGGGGCAGGTCCATCCTTCTCTGCCTGTCTCTCCTTATCTATAGATCTGATGTATGACTTCTCTTTGTAAGGGTGTCACAAATTTTCTGTCAAGATTATACTTCTGTACGCTTATTTTTAAAATGGAACTTTTCTATTTCAGCTCCTCTTGCAAATAAAGTAGACCCTTGAACAATGTGTTTGAACTGCACAGGCCATTTATAAACAGATGTTTTTCAATCAATGGAGCCGGCCCTTTGTATCTGGGAGTTTTGCATCGGCAACCAACAGCAGATTATATAGTAGTATTCCCTCAGTGCACAACCTGCGGATATGAAGGGCTGACTTTTTGTGATACGTGGGTTCTGTGGAGCCAGCTCTGAAGCTTGAGTATGTGTGGGTTTTTGTATCTGCAGAGGGTCCTGAAATCAATCCCCTACAGACACCGAGCAACTGTAGTTATTGTTTACAGGGATAAACTTGGCAATCATTCCTTAAAATCGATTACTGACTGATGTGTTTTTCTCACTTCTGGAGCGCCTACCATATGGTACTGGAGTTGGGGATTTTCTTTCTCTCTAACTGCACCACGTCCACACATGGGAGAAACTCATGGAACATCGGTTGAATCTTCCCAGCATTGCCTGTATCTGCATGGTGCAGACAAACTGAATTGCTGCACATTGCCCTCATTCATTTCTAAATGATGGTCGTAGCAAACATTATTAGGTTCTGACAGTGCTAGGCTCAAGGTAAGCAGGTGATATTTATCATCTTATTTAAAGAAGCTCACAACCCTGTGAGATAAGTACTGTCCCTAGTTCCTTTAAACAGATGAAGAAACTGAAGCTGAAAGTAGTTAGCCCGGATCTCCTGGGCTGAGTGGTGGAACCAGGATTTGAACAGGCTGATTTTCACTCACTGTGGTATTCTGCGTCTGATATAAAGTCAGGGTATCCCGGTAAGGGCAAGGAATGCCTTGGTATCTAAATCTTATGCTTCGATTCCTTCTTCGACATTCCCACCAAGTAGCCGTGTACTCTCTGAACATCTTGCGGTTTAATTTATGCAGTTCCATCTTTACCTGTTAGAAGGGCTGTCTCTATGTTAAGGCCAAACCTGCCTCCTGGTCCTTCATAAATATTGCCCCTGCCATCTGGAGTCATGGAGAAGAATCTTCTGAGTATTCTCCCATAGCACAGATTTCAGAAACTCCGAGACTTCTGCTTTCCTTGATTGATGTCCAGTTAGTGCATCTAGTCTTTGCACGTTGGAATTTTAAGCTCCTTCGTAAACCCGCGCATTTGCATCTGATGCCCTCGGTTTGTCTGTGTGCCTCATAATGACAGCATTGACACCCACCTCCCACTCAGTTGGGTTCGGACCCCTTCCAAAAGTTAACCATGTTCTCTTTGTCATAGCACATAGCTCCTGTTAATTCAACTACTAGCTCCTATGAATTCAACTACTAGCTCCTGTTAATTCAACTACTAGTTGTGCTCAGGGAGGTCAGAGTCATTGGTTTATGCAGGAGAAGAAGAATAGGGAGCTCCTTGTCTGAGGCAGGTGTTGCCTGTGTTTCCAGGTTCCCTTTATGTCTCAACTGGTGTGTCTGCTGCCCCTCTCCAGCCCTTTCCTGGCCCTCCAATGCCACCCTGTTTCTCCTCTGGCTCTGGGTGGTCCTTGCCTACTGGCTGCTTGTCTGGCTTTGCCCTGTGTTCCTTGGGTTACTTAATATTTTGACATGCTCCCATCCCAGTGTTTTCTTTTTGATAATGATAGTGCTTGAGGGATTTTCAGAAATACCCAGAGGAACTACTTTCCTCCCTTCCTCCCTCCCTCCCTCCCTCTCTTTCTTTCTTTGTGGAGTGGAGAAAGGAGCAAGAACATGTAGAAAAATATCCCCAGGTAATTATGATATATAACATTTTATATCATTTCTTTATTTATACTCATTGTCTGTTACTTGAAGAAAGAAAGTATTAAGCAATGAAACGTCTGGAAGTCTCTTAATAATATCTGGTACAATATTCCCTATATTCTTCTTTTTTTTTTTTGAGACAAAGTCTCGCTCTGTCACCCAGGCTGGAGTGCAGTGGCGCAATCTCAGCTCACTGCAACATCCACCTCCTGGGTTCAAGCGATTCTTGGGCCTCTTCCTCCCGAGTAGTTGGGATTACAGGTGTGTGCCATCATGCCCAACTAATTTTTGTATTTTTAGCAGAGGTGAGGTTTCTCCATGTTGGCCAGGCTGGTCTCCAATTCCTGACCTCAGGTGATCCACCTGCCTTGGTCTCCCAAAATGCTGGGATTACAGGTGTGAACCACCGTGCCTGGCCAATATTCCTATATTCTTTTCATGAAAACAAACAAAACAATATTTAAGAGATTCGATGCTATTTCAAAAATGTAAAACTTCACTGAACTCTAGGCTAATGAATGAGGGAATGTCATAAAAGCATTGTCAATATTTTAAAATCTTTGATGTGATTATCTCACTTTAGGAGTTATAAATTTTCTTTTTAGCATTTTGCTCACAATTATAGTATGCTGCCAACATATAATTGAGTTTCTTTGGTGAGGTCATATTTTTATGCCAAACTTCACATCCAGTACTTATTAGACCTCCTCATTCAATGTTAGTTATTCCTTTTTTCATAATTCAAGTAGTACTCTCTTTTAAAAATGAATCATATTATTTCATTAAATATCCGGCACAGAAACATTAAACAATACCACATTTATATATGTTTTTAGAGTAGTAATAGTAAAAATAATAATAAGAAGAAACTATTAGGTTTTCTCACTAATGAAACTATCACTGATCAATTCTTCCTAAAATTTGCTTAATTCCCAAATTTGAGGATAGTCTCTCAGACTCAGTATAAATCTTTATCATAAAGTAAGAACATTTCATAATTTCCCAGTAGATAATTATTAAAATTCTTCAGATTTCTTCCCTAACTCTCTTAGCTCCCTTTTGTAGACAACTGAGGAGTTTATTTATCTTGCCTTGCTGATAAATGCATTAAATGGAGAACCTGACTTTTTGCTCCAGTGCACCACTCACCTCTCTCGTGATCCTTTTCTTGCATACAGCTGCAGTGAAAGCGAGATAGGCCATCCAGGAAACCATGCAAAGACTCCCCAACTTGTCTCTGAGAAGTAGAGATCTGCACTCAACTTGAATCTGAACAAGTTTCTGTTATCTTAAATTTGTATGCTAATGCTTATTTGACAACTCTTATACGGTGTTAAATACATTTTACTTAAGGAAATATTTTATTATAAGTTACAGCAATTTAACACTGTTTCTGTTTACTGAAAGAGATTGGTATTATTTCTTCTTTAAATATTTGGTAGAATTCACCAGTAAAACAAGTTGGGCCAGATTCCTTGTTTTTAGAAATGTTTTAAATTGTTGATTCAATTTCATAATAGATGTAGAACTATATAAGTTAGCTCTTTCTCCTTTTGTAACTTGGTAGTTTGTATCTTTCAAAGGGTTGGTTCATTTCATTTAAGTTATCAAATACGTGTGCATTGAGTTATTGGTAGCATTTCTTTCTTATTCCTCGAATATCCATGGGATTGGTAGTGATGACTGCTCCCTCATTTCTGATATTGATAATTTGTGACTTCCCCTTTTTTTCTTGGTTAGTCTGGCAAATGGTTTTTCAATGCTATTAATCTTTTTAAAGAATGAGTCTTTGATTTTATTGCTTTCTCTATTATTTTCTTGTTTATAATTTTATTGATTTCTGCTATAGTTTTCATTATTTCCTTTTTTCCTGTTTACTTTAGGTATAATGGGCTCTTCGTCCTCTAGTTTACTAAGGGAGGAGCTTAGGTTACTGAATTTCTTCTTTTCTAGTATATGCATTGAATGCCATCCATTTTCCTGTAAGCACAGCTTTCACTGCATTCCATAAATTTTCATTTTCATTTAGTTCAAAATATTGTTAAATTTCTCGAGAGTTCTTCTTTGACCCATAGCTTATTAGAAGTGTTGTTTAATCCAAACTGTTGGGAATGTTTTAGCTATCATTCTGTTATTGATTTTTATTGTGTTCTGAGAGCATTCTTCATATAATTTATATTTTAAAAAATTCATTGTGTTTTACGGGCTAGAATGTGGTTTATCTTGGTGAATGTTCTTATGAACCTGAGAAGAATGTGTATTCTGCTGTTGCTGGAGTACCCTATAAATGTTTATTAGTTTCAATTGATTGATAATGCTGTTCAAACCATTTGTGCCCTTACTGACTTTCTCCCTTCTTGATCTATGCATTACTGAAAGTGTAGTGGATTTGTCTATTTCTCATTGCAGTTCTATCAGTTTTTGTCTCATGTATTTGGATACTCTTTTGATAGGTGCTTATACATTTAAAATTATGTCTTAAAGAACCAACTCTTTTATTACTAAGTTATGCCTTTTTTTATGCTTGATAATCTTCTTTACCTTGAAGTTTGCTTTGTCTAAAATTAATAATCTGCCAAGCTTTCTCTTGATTAGTGTTAGCATGGTATATGTTTCTCCATTCTTTTACTTTAGCCTATTAGAGGCTTTGTACTTAAAGTGAGTTTCTTGTAGACAATATAGAGTTGGGTCTTTAAAAAAATATTTACCCTGACAATCTTTGTATTTTAATTGGTATATTTAGTCCATTCACATTTAAAGTGATTATAGCTACAGTTACATTGACATCTACCATCTTTGGAACTTTTATTTATTACATTTGTCATTTATTTATTTTATTCTGACTTTTTCTGTCCTTTCTAGTCTTACTGAGTATTTTTTATGTTTCTATTTTATCTCCTCTCTTAGGATAGCAATTATACTTCTTTTAAAACTGTTAATATGTTTGCTTTAAACAGTTATCTTTTAGCTTATTTGAGAATAGGAAAATAAAGATTTACTTTGCCTTCATATATTTCATACAGATACTCTTTATGTTGATCTAAGTTTCTGCCCTATATTATTTTCCTTATCACTGAAAAACTTCTTTTTATATTTATTAAATTTTTGGCAGGGAAGTTCTTCCCTTAATGAATTCCCTTAGTTTTTGTTTGCCTGAGAAATTATTTATTTTTCCTTCACTTTTGAAGGTTAATGTTCCTAGTTGTTAGGTCTGAATTCTGAGTTGATTTTTTTTTTCTTTCAACATTACCTAAGTAATACCTGTTATTAACTTTGGCAAATTGTTGGCCAATATTACATCAAATATTTTTTCTCCTTTGCTCTTACTTTCTTTACCTTCTGGCATTCTAATTATGTGTATGTTACATCTTTTGAAATTGTCCCACAGTTCTTGGATGTTCTGTTCTATTTTTAAATTTTCAGTCTTTTATTTTTATTTTGGTTCAAGAGGTTTCTATTGACCTGTCAACAAGTTTATCTATTCTTTCCTCAGTTGTGCTAAGTATACTAATGAGCCTATAATTAGTGTATATTAGTATTCTTCATTTTTGTTATTGTGTTTTTTTATTTCTAGCATTTCATTTTGATTTTTTCTTAAAGCTTTTGCTTAGGCTACTTTTACCATTAGCACTCTTAACATATTAATCATAGTTATTTTAAATGTGCTGTCTGATAATTCCAACACCTGTGTCATATGTTTTATTCTAATGCTTGCTTTATCTTTTCAGATTGTGTATGTTCTTCTTCTGGCATGTCTTCTGCTTTTTTATATTGAGTAATGGGAAACAGGTAAATTGAGGACTTACGTTATTCTGGTTAGGAGTTGGGTCGTGTTTAGTGTTGCTCATAGATGTAGGCACCAAACATTTCAATCTCCTCTAGCATCCTTGTTTTTGTTTCACTTCTTGATTGTAGGTTTTTCTATGTTCTATTCCTTAAAGAACATTTTTCTCCTGCAGTTCTTACAGCTGCAAGCACAGTTATTACACTGGCCCCCTGTATAATCTTCTGATTAAGTCTCAGCCTTCTATTACCTCGGTGTTTGAGGCTGTGATCTTCACCAGTGTTTCTCCAGTGGTGTAGCTTTTGTCTCTTTGTCCCTCCTACCTTTCTGGCTGCAATATTCCTAATCTATTTATTTGAACTCTAATCTCTGTGAACTAGTGTGTTTTCTACTGCTTTAGGTGACGTAGGAAAACTGGAGACTTGAGCTGGAAGAATTTCTCTTCTCTTTCTGGAGTAAGGGTTCAGAATTGAGTGCTGGCCATCTTCTTTTTCCTGGCAAGTGGGCTTTTTTTTTTTTCCTTTAGAAACAGCTGGCATATTTTACACTGGCTGTTCTTCCACTCCACTTAAAAGAGCCATGAGGACATATTTTTGAGATACATACAATGTCAACCTAGTGGAACTACTGAAGAGAAGGACCACAAAAGTGTGGGAACTCCTTCTCAATCTCATGCTAGTAAACACTTAGCCTCCAGAAATTCATCAAAGTCACCATTTAAGTGTTTATACCAGTTTATGTCTCTAGAAGCTTCTGCTCCAAGTAAGATATTGGTTGCTGTATCTTTCTGCATGTACCTCTCTCCATATTTGGGAGTTGGTTTGCCCCATGACCTCAATTCTCTTGGTGGGTCCAAGAAAAGTCTTTGATTTTTAGTTTATTCAGATTTCCCTTGTAAAGATGGAGGTGATGACTTCCAAGCTATTTACATGTTCAAGCAGAAACCATAACTCCCCACATTAACTATTTTACCTCTAGTAGAAAAAGGTCCCACTGTGGTTGGCAAATCCTAAGAAGATATCTGTAATCTAGTGGATCAGAGTCACTGGGAAGTCAAAAGGAAGTGGAAGTCTGGTAAGTCCCTCTTTTGGGGAATTACTGGTACCTTGAGGCTGTTGGTGTCTCTTTAGGCTTCCTATTTCAGATAAAGAACCTACTGAAACAAAATAGTTTTCCAAAATAAGGGAAAAAAAGAGGGGGAAAAAAGAGGGAGAAAAACCCTGTTTTTCACTGTAGAAACTGAATATGGCAATTCTGACTTCTGAATTATGAAACCACTTGCCCTCCCTTTCCCTACTTATAAAACTCCTCTCCCCATGGAATTTCCTGGTATTGTGAATGTCCACATTCCTGGTATTGCAAAAATCTGATATAATAATAATACAAACATAAGAAACCAGCACCTGTGTAAAGTTATTATAAGAAAATGTAAATTAGTATCAAAACCTTTAGCATATTAAAATGTTGCCAAAAAGTCATGAAAATGAAGAACATTGTAACAAATACTGTTTATGAGTTAAATATTGTTAAATGAGCAATTGCATATGTGAAAGCGTACATGACTCAGAGTAGAAAAAATCAAAAACAGGGAAGTATAAAACAAAAGTTGGTAGAGCTCAGAAAGGAAATGGAAGAAAAAGACAAAAACCATTTAAGAATAAAAGATAAATTATGAGGAACGCAAGGATGAATAGATGCAATGGAGAGGATAATAGAGAGACAAAGATAAATGTAAAACTGAAATGTGGAAGAGGCTAAAAGAATTAGATAGACTACCTGTTCTTTCCTTGATGGAGTGATAGTTATAGGGTTAATCTCCTGCTATAAACAATTATAGAACTGGATTAAATATTTGAAGCAACTGGTTTCAGATATTGAACAATAGGTAGTGCAAGGCTTTGATCCTTGAGCAAATGGAAATACTCAAGGAGAGCTCAACATTCACCCTGGATTTCTGGCTGGTGCTTGTTCCAAACAATTGCACAGGGAATTGGAACAAGCAGAAAGTAACTGTCCTTCTGGGTAGAAGAAACAGAGATCAGAGTTTGGGGATGCTGCAAGGCTGAAATGTACAGAGTATGGTACTGGAGAAAACATATATTCAGAGAAGGAATTTTATAAATCTGCATAGGTACCCCTTAACTCTTGGCTTAATACTAAACTATACTGGCATGGCATGCAATTTCTTCAGTTGTGACAGAGAAATGCTGCAGGGCACCACAAGCTGAACTAGTATTTTAGATATCATTCAGTTTTGAGAGATGTTAAATTTCTGATCAGGCAGCTTTGGGCATCTCAGCCACGCATTTAGCTGAGATGCCAAAAACTCTGTCTTCGAGTAGGGTTACACCTTATTTTAGAATAAGGGTTACTCTGGACCTATACTAAGAAGTACTAACAGTAAGCCATGGCAAGATCAAGCTTATCTTCCAGTCAATTACCTGCCAGAATAAACCTTAACATTCTTTAATGGAACACACAAAAAATTAGGTTCTCAACTATGTAACATATACAATGTCTAGTATACAAAGAAAAATTACTAGATATGGGAAGAAATAAGAAAGTGTGAGCTACAACCAGAAGAAAAACCTGACAAACAGGAAAAGGCTGGGATAGAAGATATGTTGGAGTTAGCAGGCAAGGACTTTAAAAAGTTATAGTATGCCTGAAATTTAAAGAAAAAGATAACACAATGAGCAAACAGATTGGGGAATATTGATGACATTAACAGCAGATTGGATTATATAGAAAAAAAATCAATGGACTTAAAGACATAGCAACAAAAACTATAAAGCATAACACACAGAGGGAAACTTGCTGAAAAAAATATGAGAGAGTGCATTGGTGACTCATGGGACAATAATAAGCTGTTTAATAGGATTGTACTTGGGGTCCAGGAGGAATAGGGGAGACATTAGGACAAAAAGAATTTGAAGAGATAATGGCCAAGAATTTTCCAAATTTGATGAAAAAGAGCAACTCACAAGTCTGAGAAGTTCAATAAACACCAAGAAGGATAAACTCTAAGAAAACCATCTCTAACCATAAAATAATCAAAATGCTAAAAACAGCAAATACATAGAAGATTTTAATTCTTATGAATTATTTTTAGTACTTTCATAGTCCATTTAGTGTTGCTAAGGAACACTTAAGGCTGAGTAATTTAATTTATTAAAAAAAGAGGTTTATTTGTATTACAATTCTGCAGGCTGTACAGCAAGCTTGACCAGCCTGCAGCCTGCAGGCCACATGCAGCCCAGGATGGCTTTGAATGCAGCCCAACACAAATTCATAAACTTTCTTAAAACCATATGAGTTTTGTTGTTTTTTTTTTTTTTGCAATTTTTTAAAGCTCATTAGCTATCGTTAGTGTGTTTTCTGTATGGCCCAAGACAATCCTTCTTCTTCCAATGTGGCCCAGGGAAGCCAAAAGATTGGACACCCCTGCTATACAAGAAACATGGCACCAGTGTCTGCTTCTGTTAAGGGCTTCAGGCTGGTTCCACACATGGGGAAGGTGAAATCAAGCTGCTGTGTACAAGAAAGGGGGAAGATGCTAAGATATTTTTCAACAACCAGCTGTCATGAAGATGAATAGAGTGAGAACTCACTATTGTAAGAATGGCAGCAAGCCATTTATGTGGGATTTGCCCCATGATCCAAACACCTCCCAATAGGCCCCACCTCCAGCATTGTGGATCACATTTCAATATGAGGTTTGGAGGGGTCAAATATCCAAACTATAGCAAGTACTATTTATTTTTTTCATATTATATTTATTTATACCACATGCATTAATATTAATCACTATGCTTTGTAGTATGTATTAATATCATATTCCTATGCTTTGTATTTTTTCTGCAAAATTAATCTTAAGTTATTTTTGGCCTTTGCTGTTTCATATCAATGATATGAAAATGCCAAAAATAAGATTAATTTTGCAGAAGATATACAACTTATCAAAGCTTGTCAAGTTCCACAGAAATTTTGTTATTATTCAGTTAGTGGTGTTTAGGAAGAGTATGAAGTTTTGTATATTAATCTTATTCTCTATAATCGGTCATAATATTTTGCCAATAGATTAACAGCATCTAAATAAGGAGAATAATCTAAATCTTTCAAATGCTTAAAATGTATTTCTTTTTCATATCATTGTATTGGCTGGCAACAATACCTGTTTGTATTTGTACTCATCATGGCTTCTTTGGGTAGACACTTACATAATTCTAGCTTCTAAAACCATCCCTAAAATGTGAAGCAAAAAACCTGAATAACAACAACAAAAAAACCTGGAAGGCCATAAAGATCATAAAGAAAAGACTTGGAATTAATGAACTGTTGAAAAACTGGGAACCTTCGTCTTGTCCTTCACTGCATTAAAGATCATTCTAAAGTTTCATCCTTTAGTTTGGTGATATCTGTAGGTTTTGATAGAAATGCGTAATCCAGCTGCTTTTGGGATTTTGTCTTTGTCTTCAGTTTGAGCTGTTTTACTATAAAGTTTCTAGGTTTGGTTGTCTTTAGGTTAATCCTGATTGGTTTTAACAGAGTTTCTTGAGTCTATGGCTTGATGCCTTATTTCTGTTTTAGAAGTTTCTTAGGTGTTATGTATTCAAATATTGCTTCATACTTCTCCATCTTTCTGGTTCTTTAATTACATGTACATTAGAACTTTCCACTGTGTCCCATACATTTTAATACTCAGTGTAATTCATCTCTTGATTTGAATATACTAGTTCTTTATTCTTTGTTAAACTCATCTTCTGAATTAATTTAGTTTTAGCCAATATTTTCTCAGTTCTGAAATTCCTTTGATTCTTTCTTATAAATACCAGTTCCCAGGTAAAATTCTGCACCTACTTCTTGATTGTGTTAATTATATTAATTATAGATTTTTCGCTGTCCTTGTCTAATTGTTTTAATATCTGCTTCACATTTGAGTCTATTTCTGTTGTCTGTTTTTGCTCATGTGTTCTTGTTCTTTTCATGTTTGGTAATTTTCATTGAATGCCAGGCATTGCTTATAAAACATTTTAGAGTCTCTGGATGACGTTATCTTCCCACATTAAGAATTTAACATATTTCTGTTGGCCAAGCAGGATATTGGCCAATAACCATGATTTAATCAAAGTTGAGTTTCAGGACTTATTAGGCCTTATCTATTTTTGATTTGACCTTAGTCCTGTATGATGTACTAAGATTTTATTTCCATTTTTTCCCAGACTGGTGAAAGATAGTAAGCTAGTCTTAGAGTGATAGTCTAACAATTTTCCCCAGAAATATAAAGTCTGGTTGTATTTGTATTGATTGTAGTCCCTGAAACTTAGATTCTTAAGTATTTTATAAACTATGGTGATTGATATAGTTTGGCTGTGTCCCCACCAAATCTCATCTTGAATTGTAGCTCACATAATTCCCACATGTTGTGGGAGGGATGCGGTGGGAGATAATTGGATCATGGGGGTGGTTTCCCCCATACTGTTCTTGAGGCATCTGATTTTTTTGTAAGGGGAAACCCCTTTCACTTGGTTCTCATTCTTTCTTGTCTGCTGCCGTGTAAGATGTGCCTGATGCCTTCCACCATGATTGTAAGGCCTCCCCAGCCACGTGGAACTGTGAGTCCATTAAGCCTCTTTTCCTCAGTAAATTACCCAGACTCAGGTATGTCTTTATCAGCAGCGTGAAAATGGACTAATAGAGTGCCCCAATAACTTCACAGATCATGTACCAAATGTGGGAATAAGCAAACTTGGAAGGCCATAATGACCATAAAGAAATGACTTTGAAACCTGGACTTCTTGGAATTTATGGACAAACAATGTAGTAATTTGGATGGTTATGATCCCAACTTGAGACTATTTGTTATATCTAGATTTACTATTTTTTGATTACATATATTAATGTCACAGCACAATAAAATAAACGAACTAACTGTACAGTTGACCTTTGAACAACACAGGTTTGAACTATGCAGGTCCACTTATATGTGGATTTTCTTCTGCCTCTGCCGCCTCTTAAAGAACAAGATAAATCCCTCTTCTTCTTCCTCCTCCTCAACCTACTAAATGTGAAGACCACAAGGATGAAGAACTTTATCATGATCCACTTCCACTTAGTGAATAGTAAATGTATCTTCTCTTTCTTATAATTTAAAAATAACATTACTTTTCTCTAGCTTACTTTATTGCAAGAATACAGTACATAATTCATACAACATATAAAGTATGTGTTAATTGACTGTTCATATTATCAGTAAGGTTTCTAGTCAACAGTAGGCTGTTAGTATTAGGTTGGTGCAAAAGCAACTGCAGTTTTTGCCATTACTTTTAATTACTTTTAATGGCAAAAACTGCAGTTACTTTTGCACCAACCTAATAGTCAAGTTTTTTGGGAGTCAAACGTAAACACGTTTCTGCCTGTGTGGCAGATCTGCACCCATTATCTTCACATTATTCAGGAGTCAACTGTATATTATAAAACCTTGGGACAACATAGGTATCCAATTTAAGTACTTTTCCTCAGACAAGCTTTAGAATGCTCACATTAGATACACATTTGCACATTTCCGAAGTTACTAGTTCATCTTTTGGCTCTCAGAGAGAGCCTCTAGCAAAGACTCATTTCAATGTTTCTTGGTGGCATACAGTCCAGATGTGAGCCACCACCAGCTGAACATCCTGAGGGCTATAAAGCGCACTGTGTTTGTTTTGTTTTGTTTTTTGTTTGTTCCTAATTCTTGTTTATGGTTTTGCCAAGGCGTGATCTAAGCAATCTTTTTCAGTCACAAAATTGCTGTTGTGTTTCCTCTATAATATGAATAATTTGACTGCAGGCATGCAGGCTGTCTGGTTATGGTTAATTTCAGTCTCTGACTATTGAAGGTGCTCTGCCCTAGTGTGGCAGTCTCTTCTCATGAATTCTCAGACACTTGTTTCATAGGAGGTGAAAATTCCAAGCCCCCAGCCAGAAGGCTGAAGAATAATGGAGAAGATGAGATGACACAGACCAGCGTACATCCAGGGAAACAGCTCTGGCTGGGCTGGAGTGTTAAGGTGGTGAGCTACTTAGAGAACGAAGTATATCAACTCCCTGATTTTATCCAGCTGCTCGCCAGCTCCAGATGGACAGAAAGAGTTTGATCTCTCCCTTCTCCATTTAGACAAACAATACATTATTAGAAATAAACAATTATTCTGAAATGTGCATAACAGCTGCAGGTTGGATGCAATTGTGATAAGCAGAAGAAAAGAAAAGCCTGAAATGAAGCCTTAAAAGAAACCTAGAGAATATTCAGATTCCACAAAATAGAGACGATTCACAAACTAGAGACAATTCACTTTGGCAGCATCCTTTGAGCTGCTTGGCAGTTTTAATGCTGAATCCTTATCTTTATAAGCATATTTTTGCCATTGCTGTTACTTTATAATCTCTCTTCTCAAGAAATTTTATATGCTTTGTTCTGGAGATCATAGCTGGCAACAAGCCATGAGGGAGGAGCTCATGGAGGGGTGTGTGTGTGTGTGTGTGTGTGTGTGTGCGCGTGCGTGAGCTATCACCTCCTCTTTTGTTAATTCTCAACTCCTTTTCTATTAGTACTTGAAAAACTTAGTCACATGAACAAATGAGTTAAAGTAATTTTTCTTGTTCTTGAGAAAACAAGCTCACCTATTACACTATGAATTTAATTTCTTTTTTTTTTCATTTTAAAAAGGCAGACTTCTGAGAGACCTTGCTTGGAAGAAACTAGAAAGTCTAGTTTTTATTTCAAATTTGCATGAACCACATAGAGAATATATTAATTCTGTTGAAATCACTTTCTTTTTGGATCTGTCTGGGATAGATGAACTTGATTTAGAGAGCCAGAGGCACTGGGTGACTTTCAGATGTATTGCATGACTTTCCCAAGGCAATTTCCCTGGTTAGATAGAAACCGTGGATTCTCTTTTCTGTTGGTTCCCAATCCAAGGTCGTTGTCTGCTTCCCCTCAGCTCTTTATTTTATTCCAGCAGAGCTACAAATGAGAAACCCAACCCATTCAATAGCTCTGAACGAGGTCACTCTGCTCACTCTGCTGTTTAAAATAAATAGATGTCCTCTCCCTACCCTAAGGTGGGGCTGAGCTGTCCTCAGTTTAGGGAGACAGTTTCTCTAGGGCAAAGATTTTTTTAGACTTTTTTGTTAGTTGACCTAACCATCCATTGAGAATTGGATGGATAAATGGATTATCTCCCTTCCCCCCAACAAATACACACATTCCAAAATTAGCATCCAATATTGCAGAAATTATGAAGCATCTTGGAGATATTTCATGTACACCAAGTAAAGAATCCCTGTGTTAGTGGCATGTGGATAAATGTTCAAAGCAGGCTTTGGAGACATACAAACATGGGTTTAAAATCCAATTCTGCTACTTAGTAACTTGAGACTCTAGACAAAAATACTTAAAATCTTGTTGCATCACTTTTCTCATCAATAAAATGAAGATTATAGTATATACCTAATGGATTAGTTATGGGGGATATCCAAGTGCCATATAAACCATGAGAAATGAAAACAGGAATCACAATCTGTAATCCTGCACTATGACTCACAAAACAGATAAAATGCTTCAAATGATGACATGCAACAGAACGATCAAAACTCCAGTTGTTGGAATACCAGTACCTTCAGACTCGTATGTTCTAAGCTTAGAGCATAAAAAAACCGTTTTAACAGTAACTCTGCAGGAATCCATGTGTTTCAAAGATAGAACCATTGCTCATTCCAGCAAATCATCTGATTTATAAGTTCTGAATAGTCCCTGCCCAGGTCTTGATTAATAATTATCCTAAAACCAGTCTATAACTTCCCTTTCTTAATTCCTCATTTGAGATACTATCATAGTTTACAACCATCCGTGGATTTCTTTAGTGGTCTTGGTATGTGGGCTTCCACTACCCCACATGCCGTATTTTCTATCTGAAAATAGAGCAGAGATTGTCTATTTTCTTCCTTCACCTAAAGCATGTTGAATTTGTTTACAGTTATCTTGGTTAGGGCCACCATCCAGAGAAGAAAAAGCAAGACTGAATGTGAGGCTGTCTAACGGCGGGTAAGAACAGGCTTGTTCTGCGAATTATACATTAATATATTTTTGCTTATTTTCTGTTGAGTTTTTGGTCTTTTTATTTCTAGGAACTCCTTGTACATCAGCATTATTAGCCCATCATCAATGATATGAGTTGCAGAATGTTTATTGAAAAGATGCACTGTCTTTTGACTTTGACTCCGTTTATGGATTTTTATTTGTTTTAGTTCATCTTTCAGAAGAACTTAATTTCATGTAGACAAACATATCGTGGTATTAATGATTTCTGCATTTTGGGTGGCATTACAAAGGTTTTCCCCACCAAGGATAAAGTTCATTGTGAAAAAAATAGGTGAATACAAATGGCAAGAATCAATTTTTAAAATAAGAGCTAACAGTGCGGATAGTACTACCAGGTATAAAAACAATTTTAAAGATGTGGCAATGGCACATAAAGAGAGACTGATGGAATATAAAGAAATAGGAAAAAAAATTACAATAGGAAACTAAAAGCAAAAACGTATAGGAATTCACTATTCAATAAAGGTAGCATCTGAAACCAATAGGAAAAATATGTCCATTTCATAAAGTAAACTAAAACAATTGGGCCACATCTGGAAAAAAGCTGGAGCTTTACTGTGGATAAATTTCAAATGGACCAAAGATTTAAATGTGAAAAATCCCTTACAAGTCTAAAAGGAAAGAGGGGGAGAATTTGTTTATATACTTAATTTTTCTTTACCTGGAATAGTGGATACTTGTTAGTTACCTGCCTTCCCAGCATAATTCCATTTGTATAAAATGTCCAAATTGTATATAAATATATAAATACAGAAAGTACACTAGTGGTTGTATGAGACTGGCAGTGGGAACTACGATTGACTAAATGTAAGCGGGCATGAGGCATCTTTCGGGGGTGATGAAAATATTCCAAAACTGTACTGTGGTGATATTATAATTATTGAATTGTATATTCTAAATGAGTGAATTTTATGATATGCAAATTATACTTTAAATTGTTAAAATCAAGTATGATTTACTGACAGCTATTCTTGGGCAGAATAAACCTAGAACCATGCTCACACCAAGGTCTCTCAATATGTCAAATGACCGATTCTCCCCAGGATTAGGACTTGGGAAGAATAGAGGTAACTCTGATGAATGAATAAAGAAGACAGAACTAGAAGAAAGGGAAAATTGTCTTCTGAAGCTCTAACCAGAGCTTCCTTTTGTTATCTTGCTTCCTGCAGGAACTGGCAACCTCTGTTGAAAACGGCATCCTAGCTTTCTTCCACAGATGGTGACCAGAACAGCCTGTCTCATTGCTGAACAATCACCAACATCCCTTATTGACCTCAGCCCAGTTGTTGCCCCTCTTGTTTAATTGGCCTTACATGGAAGCACTTCAACTGAAAGCATGTCATTTTTTAGGGAATTGTGCCAAAAAGCAATTAATTTCAAATACACAGCTTTTATATTTGATGCTGCAGTTTCTGTCTGAGGCAACATTTATTTATGTTCCTGTTGGAGGGAGATAACACACCAGCTGAAGGAACAAGCAGATGCAGACCCATGGGAATCACATTGTTGTTGGTCTAACTCTCCTCTTGGCTTTGGCATCCTGCAGCTGTGGCTGCCTTTACAAAATGGTAGCAATCAACTCTACCCAGGGACTGTGGCTCTTGTTTCTTTCTTTTTAAAAATTTAATTTATTACAGTGGTTTATAATCTGGATAGAACTCTGACAACTGTGGGAATATTCCCATGAAAGCCTACATGCAAATGGATATTATTCAAATTCCATGGGGATTTTTCTACCCATCTCAACCATGGCTCTGCAAAAAACCATGCTATTTGTTCTGTTTATATCTCTCAGGAGCCTACTAAAGTTTCATGTACTCCAATATGTTTCTAAATCTATGTTTCATTATGCTCTACTAGGATTCTGTTGCTTTCACTTAAAGTTGTAAGGATATCACAGAGAAAGAGTGTCCCAGAGGGATAGCCACACAGCTGGGTGGGAGCTGAGACACTTGGGGCATTTGATATACCATTTGAGTGGTGGGGTGGGCAGCACCAGGGAAGTGTATCTAACACAGCAGCACTGTCCCTTGCTGTCACTCCTTATGGCTTGTGTGAGAGCTGATGGTGTAGGTCCAGAGGGGGCTAAAGGGTCCTTGTCCTGTGAGCATGCACTATGCAGAGTTTTGCAGTTCTGCTTAGAAGAGAGCAACTCTTATGTTGGTTTGGCCAATGTCTTTCTCCTGGTCACCTAGCTTTCACTTTTCTCCTTTGTGCAGGTGAAGCCTACTGTTACTATTTGGCTAAAATAAGCCACATAGCTTGTGTTGAAGAATCTTTTTTATTTCTTTAAGAAGAATTTGGTGCCCATGAAAGTGATCAAAGTTTTTTGTTCTCCAGTGACATCAAGCAGGAGAAAAGGATATACTCTCCATTGGTGAGTCCTTAAATAGTCTAATCTCATTTCAGCAAATTCCTTCCTTCCTACTTCTATTCTTCCCTCCCTTCTTTCATTTTTTCCTTCCTTCCTACTTCTATTCTTCCCTCCCTTCTTTCTTTTTTTCCTTCCTTACCTTAGACAACCTAAGCAGTAAATAAAAAATCACAACCAGCAAGAAAACAAACCAGAAGAGCAATCCTTCCTTACCTTAGACAACCCTAAGGAGTAAATAGAAAATCACAACCAACCAAAAAACAAGCCAGAAAAGCAATATGTAAGATCACAATACAGGTGGCCCACAGGCTTGAATATTGTTATTAAAGTTGAATTGAAAATTTGTCTTTGAGGTTCTTAGGTCCAAGCAAAAGAGAATAATCACAGTTGCATGGGTCCCTTTGACCACATAGAAAAGTAAAACTATTCTTGGCACTTATGCTGAAAATTCCCATCTGTGACTCTATAGGTTATAAGAGCCCAGGCAGCATGTAGGGTATGTAAGGAAATGACTGTATTAAAAAAAGATATTGGTTTTAACAACTTTGATTCTGTAGTATTCTCAGGAAATGTTGAGGATACATGTAACCTAGTAGGAGTACTGTGAGAGCCTGGGCAGTTTTCTGCAAGTTAATGTGGCTTCTTGATGGCTTAGTTTAATCTACAGGTGTAACACAGTTATTTCAAACTCTCCAGTGTAAATATGGATTATCTTGGCAAAATCTTTTTTTTTTTTTTAATCAGGCAGCAGATAGCTCAGAGATATGTCTTCTGTCAAATACCATTGTGGCATAATTTCTCTTCTCCCCAACCTCCTACCAATTTGCTGCAGAATCTAAGTACATAATAAGCCTGAAACTATAAGATGTGCTATAAAGTTCTTAAATGGTAAGAAGTAAAACATCATTGAAAAGTTGGCTTTACCTTAGAAAAAATGAGGAGGTGCTGGGATTTCTGGGTGTCTTCGATGAATGCTGGTTGCCTCCTTGTGACAAATGCAGTTGGGAGTCCAGCTCTGCAGGGCTTTCATTGATTTTGTGGAGGGGTGACTGCTGTTTGCCACTTCAGAGCCCAGGTGAACCATCTATATTCATTAAGCCTGCTGGCATGGTGGAGAAAATGGATACATCATACTGTCTTAGGTCGAAATATCTGGGATCGGAATTTTAAGTGTTCTAGAAAACTCTGGCTGATACCTGCACTTCTTGTCTTCTATAACCAGTATTCAATATGGGCCATCCAGCTTCTTTATTGAGATTTGATCACTTAGCTTTCCATCAGTAACTCATTTTGACATATGATTGAAGAAGTTACCTTGCCAAATATCATCCAGAATCAATTTTCAGCAACTTGGGACATTTTTCAGCCTGGTCATGAATTAAGACTCATGCTCTTTTGTCTGACCGTAAACTTTACTCAACACGTGGAAGCTGCTCCCCAATTTCTTAGTACATAGTCGAGCTTCCCTCCTCCGCTATACCTGAGCATGGAGCCAGCTGTGTTTGAGACTGATTAATGAAGATTAAAATAGAAGAATCTTATCCAGTGTGAGTCAGTAGAGCAAGAGATTGAGCACACGGTGAGGGGTGTTAGAATCAGAAGGGTAGAGGGGAAAGAAAGAGAGCTAGGGACAGTTAGGACAAAGCAAGCAAAGAAGAGGGTTTGAGTAAGAAGTGTCTTGAAGAAATAGTAGCTGTTGCTCATGATTATGTTTTACCTGTGAAATTCAGATAATAGTTTTGAGGTATTAAAGCAATGACTTTTTGCTCCCCCCAAATCTCTAATAGAGTTGTGTCCCACACATTTCCTGACCAATTGACTCAATAATGTTCATTATTTGAAGGAATGGGCCATACTGCTTAGAACAAGTTCAGAATTTCATGTGATATTTTGAGACTCATTGATGCCAAAGCTAAGCACAAAATTCACGTTTTATTAGTTTAAAAAGTTTTCTAAATTCTAGAAGCTTCCCTTTACCTATTGAGTAAAGCCTTGGGGATCTGTGCTAGTGAGGTTGAGGAGATATAAAGACATTGAGTTTATGATTTAAGTGAAGTCTCTACCACACAGAAAGGGAAAACAGAAAGGCCTTCTAGCCAGTTTTGGGTAGAACGGTAGCTTAAGGGAGAACAGGAGAACAAGGAAGTCAGACTGAACAAAAGCATGATTCTGAAGAGCCTGGACAGGCAGAGAGACCCAGTCTATTATCAAAAAGAAAAGAATCCCTCCTTACTTAAAATTACCCAGGAGTCCAGAAAGTGTGCTTTTTATATTAGTATAGATACATGCAGAAACACCTGTATAAAATATATATGCGGCCAGGCGCGGTGGCTCACGCCTGTAATCCCAGCACTTTGGGAGGCCGAGGTGGGCAGATCACGAGGTCAGGAGATCGGGACCATCCTGGCTAACAAGATGAAACTCCGTCTCTACTAAAAATACAAAAAATTAGCTGGGCGTGGTGGCGGGCGCCTGTAGTCCCAGCTACTCAGGAGGCTGAGGCAGGAGAATGGCGTGAACCCGGGAGACGGAGCTTGCAGTGAGCCGAGATCGTGCCACTGCACTCCAGCCTGGGTGACAGAGCGAGACTCCATCTCAAAAACAAAACAAAACAAAACAAAAAAATAGCCATATATATACATATATGCACGTAAATATGCAAATATGTTAACAAGGTAATATTTTATCTGAAACACAAATCTACACCTTTTTCTAGCTCAGCGTTAGTTTCCCTTGTACCTATACAAAGGGGCTGCTCTCAGGTAATGTGCACCCGTCTCTCTATGCTCACACAGCAGCTCCCTCCAGAAAGCTACTAGACATTTCGTACCAAAACTAATGGTAGACCACATGCACCAGAATGAGGAAACACAGTCAAAAGCATCTATATTATTTGACAAGCATCTAGAGCATACATAAATAAATTATATTGGGAAAAACAGGCATTGAGTGATTAGCAAAGATTCTCAACCCTTGTACTGTATACTTAATTGGGGAGTTTTAAAACACTGATATATAGTCCCCACTCAGAGATTTGAGTAACTGGTCTGGCCAGGCACTGATACATATGGTTAAAAATATTTTACTTTGTACGTTAGATAATTCCAGACTTACAGAAAAATTGTAAGAATAATACCAAAGACTTCTGATTATCCTTCATCCACATTCCTCAGTAGTTATTTTTTTTTTTTAATTTTTGAGACGGAGTCTCACTCTGTTGCTCAGGCTGGAGTGCAATGGCACAATCTCTGCTCACTGCAACCTCCCTCTGCCTCCTGGGTTCAAGCGATTCTCCCGCCTCAACCTCCTGAGTAGCTGGGATTACAGACACGTACCACCACGCCCGGCTGATTTTTTGTATTTTTAGTAGAGATGGGGTTTCACCATGTTGGTCAGGCTGGACTCGAACTCCTGACCTCAAATGATCTGCCTGCCTCAGCCTCCCAAAGCGCTGGGATTACAGGCGTGAGCCACTGTGCCTGGCCAGTTGTGAAAATCTTAACACATTTACTTTTAAAAAAATTCTTTTTTTCACTCTATATGTGTTTGAGTACATTATTTTTTATGAAACATTTGAGAGTAAATTGCAAGTATGTTGTCCCTTTTCTCTTACTTTATATTTCCTACGAATGAGGACATCTTCCTACATAACAACAGTACAGTTATAAAAATCAAGACATTAACATTGATACTATTGAATCAAAGAACCAATGTAACCAGTGAACCAATATATGCGTATTTGGGACTGTCTCTGCTTAGATAGAAACAGCTCTACAAATGCTTGCAGGTGATGCTGAAACCAGTTGCACTGGCAGCTGAGCTTCATTACGATTCATTGCCCATAGTAGTATACCAGCTGAAGGCAATGGTGACTCTTCTGTTTAAGGGCAAACGCTTTCCAATAGGGTTGCTTTTTCTACATCGTGGCAAACCTGCCCAATCAAAGTCTTTCTTTTCGGAGTATAGAATCTGGATGACAAGCCAGAACATCACTGAAGCTTAGCACCAGGTCAAAATAAAGCTATAGGAGACCCCGAGGCCAAAGAGCTGCAAATGAGACCACATCTTCTACTATCCCATATCCTCTATTTTCCTGCATCTTCCTTACTGAGAGGAATAAGTACTTTCCTCCCTGCAATTCTAAGGAATTTGTCTCCTACAAAGCTGTAGAGTAAAAATTTATTTTTTGATAAATCCAATACCACTGACAAAAAACCTGCTTCTGGACTGAAGCATGTTTAAAAAGCTGTTTACAAGAACAATAGCCTTCTGTTCTGAATTAGTGGTAAGTAACTTAATGAAAAGCTGTATTAAATGGGGTTTATTTTTGCTTTTTGCTATTAAAAGTGTGGTCTGTGGACTGGCAGCATCATCATGGGTGAGAAATGAAAAACGTGGGGTCTTCCCTCACATGGATCAGTATCTGCAGTTTCACAAGCTCCCGAGGGGTGAGTGCACATGAAGGATTGAGTATTGCTCCAAATAACCAGACCAACAAGGTAAGTGTGGTGCTTTTTGGTTTTACCCGATTACAGGTGTCCATTTAGTTGTGATACAGCAACAGACATATTCATTCCTTCTTGGCTACATCTTATTGTTTGGCAAGATATCTGTATTTAGACACATTACTATGGTACAGCGGTTCTCAAAGTGTGGTCCACGGACTGGAAGTATCAGCCTCACTTGGGAATCTGTTAGAGATGCAAATTCTCTGGCCACACCCCAGACCTACTGAATCAGAAACTCTGGGACTGGGGCTCAAAGTCTGTGTCTTGACCAGCGTTCCAGATAATTCTGATGGGCTGTGGTAGTGAGACCCACTACTGTAGTACCTAGCTGCTCCAATAAGCAGACAATCTTGTCATTATAAAGCAGTCTACCAGAGTTTGAAGCAGTAGAAAATCAATGACTAATGGAGAACAGGAATGATAATCCAGCTCAGTTTCATTTTTATCTTAGAATTAATTGGAAAATGTATAGGTCGAGTGTTTCTTTCTAATCTTTCTTTAAATGCTCGGCCAGTGCCTGGATTTTTGCCTTTAATTCTAATGTCCTCCTTGCTCAGGGAGGATGCCTTTGGTGGAAGCCAAAGTTACTGCCTAAAAGACCAGTTTACTACAAATAGGTAAGAAGAAACCTGCCTAAAATCAATCACCTACTTTAAGTTAATCAGATGTTCTAAGTGGATGATTTATATGACTCACAAAGGGCATTTCAAAAAAGTTGCTGTGGACCCAGCTTCAGCAGTGAATTTTGTGTTCTAGGTGAATAAAAAGGAAAGTTTTGCAAGCAAATGCTGACTTGCAGATGGGCAGGTACTGCATAGTTCATGAACAGGAGGCACACCTGCTCTGAAGTTCTGCAGCCAACAAAGCTGTTTAAAGAGAAAGGGAGAAGCAATCAGTATTACCCACTGGTGCCTCCAAGAAGTGCCAAAGGAGGTACTTCTCATTTTAAACAAGTCGAATAATAAGGTGCAGATTAGAATCAAATGTGTAGGCAATCCTTTTTCCTGGGCAGCACTGCCTCCACTCAGAGCCGGTCACAGATGAGCAAAATTGACTTCCTGGCTTATCTCATTTTCAGTTGAAAATATTGTTGATGCATTTGCTTCTATGAAAGCCAGGAAAGTAAAATTATAGTAGATCCAATTTTAGGTATGAAGAAATACTTCAACATAAAATAATGTGAGCTTTAATACACTGGTCTTTCAATTTTTCAATAATTTCTCAACTTCTTCAATGGCCCATAAAAAAAGAACTACAAAAATATATATAAAGATATACGTATATCAGGTAGACATTTTCAGTTTTGCCTTAGGCTTCGATAAAGATTGACAAGGTATTGTTGGGCTACATCATTTATTTAAAAATCTTGATATTTTGTTCATGAACATTTTTCCATTGTTTTTAAAAATTCATTAAAATATTATTTATCTTCATTACTGATTTTTGGCACCCTCTTAAATTAGCCCAAGGCTAGTGCCTTCCTTGTCTCACCCTCGTCCTGGATCTGCTGCAGAGAATTGAGTTCAACTTATTGGGATGAAAAAAATTGTTTTTTCTTGTTAAACATCATAGTGCAATGAAGATATATTGGGCTTTTGAATAAAACGGGACATCTTTTGAATCCTTGCTGTCATTTACTAGTTTGTGATTTTGTGGATATGTAATACTGTTTGATGTCCTAACTTCCCTGAAAATCAGTTTTATAAGTTAACTTGTGTTTTTATATTTGTTAGATATTTTTGTTCCATTATGTAAATTGCATGTTCTCTGAATATATTTCTGCTGGATTTATTTATTTATTTATTTATTTTACTTTAGGTTCTAGGGTCCATGTGCACAACGTGCAGGTTTGTTACATATGTATACATGTGCCATATTGGTGTGCTGCACCCAGTAACTCGTCATTTACATTAGGTATATCTCCTAATACTATCCCTCCCCCCTCCCCCCACCCCACAACAGGCCCCGGTGTGTGATGTTTCCCACACTGTGTCCATGTGTTCTTATTGTTCAATTGCCACTTATGAGTGAGAACATGCGGTGTTTGGTTTTTTGTCCTTGTGATAGTTTGCTGAGAATGATGGTTTCCAGCTTCATTCATGTCCCTACAAAGGACATGAACTCATCCTTTTTTATGGCTACATAGTATTCCATGATGTATATGTGCCACATTTCCTTAATCCAGTCTATCATTGATGGACATTTGGGTTGGTTCCAAGTCTTTGCTATTGTGAATAGTGCCACAATAAACATAAGCATGCATGTGTCTTTATAGCAGCATGATTTAAATCCTTTGGGTATATACCCAGTAATGAGATGGCTGGGTCAAATGGTATTTCTAGTTCTAGATCCTTGAGGAATCGCCACACTGTCTTCCACAATGGTTGAACTAGTTTACAGTCCCACCAACAGTGTAAAAGTGTTCCCATTTCTCCACATCCTCTCCAGCACCTGTTGTTTCCCGACTTTTTAATGATCGCCATTCTAACTGATGTGAGATGGCATCTCATGGTGGTTTTGATTTGCATTTCTCTGATGGCCAGTGATGATGAGCATTTTTTCATGTGTCTGTTGGCTGCATAAATGTCTTCTTTTGAGCAATGTCTGTTGATATCCTTCACCCACTTTTTGATGGGGTTGTTTGATTTTTTCTTGTAAATTTGTTTAAGTTCTTTATAGATTCTGGATATTAGCCCGTTGTCAGATGGGTAAATTGTAAAATTTTTCTCCCATTCTGTAGGTTGCCTGTTTACCCTGAAGGTAGTTTCGTTTGCTGTGCAGAAGCTCTTTAGTTTAATTAGATCCCATTTGTCAATTTTGGCTTCTGTTGCCATTGCTTTTGGTGTTTTAGTCATGAAGTCCTTGTCCATGCCTATGTCCTGAATGGTATTGCCTAGGTTTTCTTCTAGGGTTTTTATGGTTTTAGGTCTAATGTTTAAGTCTTTAATCCATCTTGAATTAATTTTTGTATAAGGTTTAAGTAAGGGATCCAGTTTCAGCTTTCTACACATGGCTAGCCAGTTTTCCCAGCACCATTTATTAAATAGGGAATCCTTTCCCCATTGCTTGTTTTTGTCAGGTTTGTCAAAGATCAGATGGTTGTAGATGTGTGGTATTATTTCCGAGGGCTCTAGTCTATTCCATTGGTCTATATCTCTGTTTTGGTACCAGTACCATGCTGTTTTGGTTACTGTAGCCTTATAGTATAGAAAGAAAATTCTTTTATTTAAGAATGTTGAATATTGGCCCCCACTCTCTTCCGGCTTTTAGAGTTTCTGCTGAAAGATCCGCTGTTAGTCTGATGGGCTTCCCTTTGTGGGTAACCCGACCTTTCTCTCTGGCTGCCCTTAACATTTCTTCCTGTGTTTCAACTTTGGTGAATCTGACAATTATGTGTCTTGGAACCAAAAAAGAGCCCACATTGCCAAGACAATCCTAAGCCAAAAGAACAAAGCTGGGGGCATCACGCTACCTGACTTCAAACTATACTGCAAGGCTACAGTAACCAAAACAGCATGGTACTTCTTTCCCCATTTCTTGTTTTTGTCAGGTTTGTCAAATATCAGATGGTTGTAGATGTGTGGTATTATTTCTGAGGGCTCTATTGTCTCTCTGGAATCAGTGAGTTCTTGCTCTTTTGGACACAGAGTAGTTCCCACCAAAGCAGGTTGTTATAAGTGAGACTGCCTCTTGTGTTGGGTCTTTTTGCACATGCTCACTTGCTTTTTTTTTTTTTTTTTTTGAGATGGAGTCTTGCTCTGTTGACCAGGCTGGAGTGCAGTGGTGCATCTTGGCTCACTGCAAGCTCCGCCTCCCAGGTTCACGCCATTTTCCTGCCTCAGCCTCCTGAGTAGCTGGGACTACAGGCGCCCACCACCACGCCTGGCTAATTTTTTTTGTATCTTTAGTAGAGACGGGGTTTCACTGTGTTAGGCAAGATGGTCTCGATCTCCTGACCTCATGATCCGCCCGCCTCAACCTCCCAAAGTGCTGGGATTACAAGCGTGAGCCACCGCATCCAGCCGCTCACTTGCTTTTATGCTTGTCTGCCGTGTTGCGAGACAGCGTGAGGCCCTTACCAGAGCCTGAGCAGATGCTGGTGCCATTCTCTTGAACTTTCCAGCCACCAGAATCATAAGCCCAATAAACCTCTTTTTAAAATAAATTATCTGGTGTCAGGTATTCTGTTACAGCAACACAAAATGGACTATGACACTTTGGTAGAGTCAAACTCACCAATTTTTCCCATATAGTATATGCTTTGAAGAAGATATTGAAATTTCTACTTTTATCATCCAGTACTCCTACCTTTACTCTTTCTGACCTCCCTTAATCTTATGTGCTTTTAGAGGTTTTCCTTATGAAATCCTTTTCCTCTGAGATAAAAAAAAGTCATTTTTAATTAGTTTTATAGTGTATGTTTCATAATTAGGACTCTAATCCAAGTTGATTTTCTCTGTTGGATGATTTCATTACAACTTCTTTTAAACATATTACTCCATATGGTCTGAGTCAAATATTCTAACACTTTGTGTAAAATCAGTTTTTTCTTTTTTTCTACTGATTCGTGATGCAAACCCTCTCACATATTATGTTCCCACATATACATGAGTGGCTAACCTCTCTATCATGTTCAGTTGCTTTCCTTGAATGTTCCTATGCCACAATGATACCTTTTTAATTACTAAGGTTTTGTAAGGAATTTTACAGCTGAATTAATGTCCTTAGTTAGTTGGCTTTGAGTCACTCAAAAGGGAGATGATCTTGGATGGACCTGATCTATCAGATGAGCTTTTGCAAAGAGCATCTAGACATCAGAATCTTGAAGCAGCAGAGATTCTTTTTATTGCTGGCTTTGAAGAAGAAAGTTTCCATGAATATTACTGCTACAAAGCCATTAATTCTGCCAACAACCAGAGATTGCTTAAAGACAGATACTTCCTGAGTCAAGCCTCCAGCTGAGAATGCAGCTTGGGTGACACCTTGATTTCAGCCTTGTGAAACCCTGAGGAGAGAACCTGACAGAGCTCTGCCTGAGCTCTGGCCTTTAGAGGTCAGACTCACTTATTACTGCAAGTGATAAATTAATCCTGTTTTAAGCTATTAAGTTTGTGACTATTTGTTATACAGAATAGAAAGCTAGTATGCTATCTAGAGCTAATCAGTATTTAAAACTTTCTACTAAGATGTGCATATTATTTTCTTTCTCTTCCTCATCTTCCTCATCTCCACCATGTTGGTATCATATATTTAGTTCATGATTGCTGTAAAAATTTTTAAAAATGGATAATTCAGAAACTTTTTTTTTTTTTTTTACAATTAATACCTGTAGCTGACATTATTTATTGCTCAATAGCCAAATATCACTTTCATCTTATTTTGATGTCCTGGCTTGCCAACAGAGACCTAATTTTGTTCAGTTGTCAGGTGCAGAGCCCTTGGAAAGTAGGTTCGTCTACCAGCTTCACAGGTAAAATACCGATTGATGTAAGTTAATAAAGACTCATTCCTATATTACATGGGGCAGTTCCAGCCAATGAGATATAAAGTAGCACTGGGAAAATATGTTTTCTTATTGGTACTGTTTGGCTCCCTTTGTGCCCTTTCAGTCTAAGATCTTGAATCTTTTTAAGCTGTGGGACGTAATTAAATATAATTTCTTCAAGTATAGCCCACACTCATTTTACCTTTTCTTTTTACCCTATAATTGCACTTAGTTGGATATTGAAATTTCTACTTTTATCATCCAGTACTCCTACTTTTACTCTTTCTGACCTCCCTTAATCTTATTCAATGTCCTATGGGGAGTTTCTGAAAATCCCCTAGTTCTCTAGTTCTTTCTTCAGTTGAGTCCATTCTGTTATTAAAATCATCCTCTGAGTTCTTTATTTCAGCAATTATATTTTTAATGGCAAATGTCTCTGGTTGGTTCATCCTAATGCTTGTTCATGCTTCATATTGGTAAGAATTCTCGTTGAATACCTCAACCCTATTTATTAAGCTTATTTTGAGTTACTATTTTCTTGTATCATTAACTCTGCTTCTGCTGTGTTACATTGCGATTTTTATTGTCTTTTTCTTGTAACTCTTGGCCCTTTAAGTGTCATATAATTTTTCCGTGGGAGGTCATTTATATTGCCTGGAGCTTTCCTTACTGTTCCAGCTACCTTTGGGGAGGACAGAAAGCCTGGATGTTGCTCAGGGAGTTTAAGGGTTGGAGACTTGGAGGTTGTAAGGGTATAAGGCCTCCCTTTGCATTCTGGAATCTACTACCGTCTGCCTCCTGCACCCCTTCCCTTTTCGATAGCATCCTTTGCCTCCCCAGGAAAACTCCCAGTATCTCTGTCCTAGGTACTGCTCTATGAAATTGTAATTTCTTAGCCATAAACTGAAAAATATGAAGAGAAGTCTCAGATTCTGATCAGGCCGCCTTCATGTTTTGGTGTTGGTCTCCAATCCATTCAGGCTCAAGAGCTGCCCCATGGCTACTGTGGCCTTTGACTGGAGCATCTGCTCTACCAATCTTCAGACTTAGAGCAGGTGGGACTTCACTCAGAGCAATATAAGGAGAGAGGGGTCCCCCCAGGAAGCTCTCTCCCAGTCTAGCTCCTTGTCCATATACCGAGGATGCATCTTTCCAGTCCCTGGGGTAAAATTCTAAAATGGAATACCACGTCCTGGTCATGAGTAGAGAGAAGGAAATGATAAGGTGGACTGGGTACGCTGAAAACAAATTGTATCAGACTCGTCTCATTCAGTGCTTTTGAGAGCTACTATGCTGAAGATTCAGAAAATGAGGTACCTCTAGGAGAAAAGAGAAGGGCATGATATCTTTTGAAGCCTTGTCGACTAGATGAAAAAATACAAGAAAGATCAATGAGTTGTAGGTATTTTTAGATGGCTGTTGAGTGGCCCCAGCTAAGTCAGTTAATTGATTAATGTCTACCTGAAGAGGATTCTAGTAGTGTGCTTCAGGGATTTGACCTTTGTCCTATCCTGATAGTTCAGTATTATTTTATTAATGACATGGTGAAATATAAAGGCATATTCATATTTATAAATGTTCAAAAGCTAGGAGGGGGGACTGTGCCTATGTTGTATGTGAGAATCTGGTTCTAAATAAACATCAAAAAGATTAGAGAGACTAATGTAATAGAAATTAATAGGAATAAGTATGCGGTTCTAAAATTTTCCTCCAAATATCACAGGATTAGCACTAGTTAATGTTGAGCATTTTAGTTCGCAGTAAGTAAACTTAATAATTTGTCAGCCACATTACACTTATTAATATTATTGCCAAAAGTTGCATGTAGAGGAATACGTTAGAAAAAGGGAGGTAAGATCTTGCTCTTCCCTGTTCTGGTCAAACTTTACCAAGACAACTTAGTTCCAGTCTGAGTATCAAGCTTTAAGAGATAAAATGATGCATTCTGGAATCCACTACCCAAAATTCAGCCTCCGCAGTGAAACAGAGTACATTCATGGCATTATCAGAGCAGTGAAAATGCTCACAAGCTACGTCACCTAAGGACTCATTTAAGGAACTTGTGATTTTCATCCTGTAAAAAAGGATGACTGGGAAGGAGACGAACATCCTCAAGTAAGGGATGTTGGGAGAATAAAAAAAAAAAAAGGAATCAGCTGCATTTTATGTGAATCTTCCAAAGGATAGGGTTAAGACCAGCGGGTGGAAGTTGCAGAACGACAGATTTCAGCTCAATGTGTGGAAAACATTCGAACAGAGCTTAGCCATTGGACACTTCATCTTTGGAAAAGGGTTGACTGATAAAGGAGATGTTTAAACCTAAGCCATATGGTTCGTTAAAACCACACGGTGGGCAACAGGAGAAGAGATCATAAAATGTTCCTATAACTCAAAATTGCTTAGCTGATTTGAGGAAGCTTCATGGGGGAGATAAAAATGGAGCTGTGCCAGGAAGGACGGACAGATAGGACTTAGTTCATGCATTTTCAACATGGTGACATTGCCCTAAGGGAATGAAATCGGTTCTTGGAGGGTGAAAAAATCTTGGCTATTCAAATTGTTTGTGACCCTCCTCAGAGCCACAGTACATAGACAGACATACAGTATATCTTTGATATTAATATTTCATGCTGGAAGGAGAGTGGTTAGGGAAATGCTCTAAAAAGTTTCCTTGGCCAGGGACGGTGGCTCACATCTGTAATCCCAGCACTTTGGGAGGCTGAGAAGGTCGGATCACTTGAGGTCAGGAGTTCGAGACCAGCCTGGCCAACATGGTAAAACCCTGTCTCTACTAAAAATACAAAAACTAGCTGGTTGTGGTGGTGGGCACCGTAATCCCAGCTACTGGGGAGGCTGAGGCAGGAGAATTGCTTGTACCTGGGAGATGGAGGTTGCAGTGAGCTGAGATGGCACCACTGCACTCCAGTCTGGGTGACAGTGTGAGACTCTGTCTCAAAAAAAAAAAAATTTTTTTTTCCATTAAGGAGGCACAGTGAAAAAAATGGTATATATATGTTTTCTTTTCTTTTCTTTTTCTTTTTTTTTTTTTTTTTGAGATAGGGTCTTGCTTTGTCCCCATCCACAGCATGGAGTGCAGTGACTCAATCACAGCTCATGGCAGCCTTGAACTCCTAGACTCAAGTGATTATCCTACCTCAGCCTCCCCAATAGCTAGGACTACAGGGCATTGTTGCATAAAAAATTGCCACAAACTTTGTGACTTGAAGCAACACACATTTATTATCTTATGGTTCTGGAGGGTCAGAAGCCCAAATGAGTTGGCAGAGCTGCAGGCCTTCTGGAGGTTTTAAGGGAGAATTCATTTCCTGGCCCTTTCCACCTTCTAGAAGCTGCCACAGTTCTTGGATCAGAACTTAGCATTATTCTAATTTCTGCTTCAGTCGTACATCTCCTGTTTCTCCGTTTCTTTAGAAAGCCCCTATAATTACATTAGTGCTACTAGTGTTACATTAGTGGATAATGCAGGATAATTTCTCCCATCTCAAAGTCTTACACAGGCAACATTCTTTTGCCATAACAGGTAACACAGTCACAGGTTCTGGGATGAGGATGTAGATATGTGGGGAGGGGGATGTGCATTCTTTTGCCTATCAGTTGGGAAATGCTGACCGATGATGCATCATTAGCCACGTGTTAGGAGGAACAAGGAAGGAAAGAGAACACAGATGGTTCTGTGCAATCATAACTGTGAAAAAGTGGCTCAGGACAGAGATAGATACAGAAGCATGCTAAGCCCAAGTATGGGCACCATTATTATAATTTGAACTGTTGTCGTTCACCACTGTTATCATTGTCATCGTTTAGACAGGGCTAATTTTTAAGTATCATTTGCACATGAAATCCAAAAGCCTCAGTCATTCCCTGTGGTAGTTTTGTAGGGCTGCCATAACAAATTAATACAGATTGGGGGCTTATAACAGAAACATATCCTGCCACGGTTCTGGAGGGCAGAAGTCAAAAATCATGGTGTCGGTAGGGCCATCTTCCCTTTGCAGCCTCTACAAGAGAATCCTTCCCTCTCTCTTCCAGCTTCTGAGGGCTTGTGGCTGCATAACTCTAAGTTCTGCCTCTACCCTCGCATGGCTTCCTTCTTTTCTCACTCTATGTTCACGTCTTCTTTTCTGTCTTTTACAAGGACGCTTCTTTTCTATCTTTTATAAGGACACTTCTTTTCTATCTTTTATTTATTCATTTATTTATTTTTCTATCTTTTATAAGGACATTTCTTTTCTGTCTTTCATAAGGACACATCACTGGATTCAGGGTTCATCTTATAATCCAGGATAATTACATCTACAAAGACCTGTTTTCCAAGTAAGGTTATATACACAGTTTCCAGGGTTAGCACGTGGACTTATCTTTCTGGGAGACACCATTCAACCCACTAAGTTCCTGAATCAGAGCTGCCTCAAGGGAAAGAAATGGTAATTTTATCCTTAAAGATAAACACCAATATGCTGGGCTTAACGATTAATCATTCTCTCAGTAGTGTTCCTAGGCGTTAGTGGGCTGCAGCTTATTTGGTGGGTAGGTCCAGGGGGCACTTAGGGATCTATACTACTTGCAGACTCCCTTGGTGGGGAGTAGAGTATGATGCTATTTCAAAGTGCTTGTCTTGATGCTTCTCTTTTCTCCCCTCACTTCCCTTCTCCCCTCCTTCACGCAGTAGCTGGGGTTGCACTTTTAAAGCACAGAGCTGAACACAGCATTTCTTCCTCAAAACAGTCACTGATTTTTTTCCTTATTTCTTCAGACTAAGTCCAGATTGCCAGCTGGGCATTTAACCCGTTTAATGAACCTGGTCTCATACTCATCTCAGTCTCGACCCTAAGCTCCAGTTCTTTCAGGCGTTTCCCTGCTCTCTGTGACCATCTGCTATTCCCCTGGGATCACGTCACTGCTTTTGGGGTTCCTTCATCCATCCTTCAGGAAGGCTCCTCCCCGCTAGCATGTATTCCTCCTTCCCAGTGCAAGCACATTGATTTCCCATTTTCTGTGCTTCTCAGACTTTAGAGTGAACAGGAATCACCTGCAGAGCATGTTGAAATGCAGATTCTGACTCGATCTGGGGTGGGCTGGAGACAATGCATGTCTAGGAAGCATCCAAATGATGCTGATGCTGTCCTTAGGGACCACACTTCAGTAGCAAAATTCTATAGCCCGCCACTGTCTGCCTTAACTGGTTAATTATGGGTATGTGTGGAGGGGAAGGTGTCTCTCTTCCTCTCCCCAACAGGCTCTGATCGCTCAGAGATGAAGAACAGTGGTTTGTTTGTCAAAGCTGATGAATGTGAGTGGAGGTAAATTACATTTGAGTAAAAATGGAGAGTAATTGCTGTAATTCGGCTTGGCTGTATCCCTTCTGCTGTTGCACGGTGGGCTCTGGAGAGGGACATCCAGTGCCCTTAGCTGGCTAAGGAGATGGCCATGACCACTGGTTTTCAAGAACCAAAAGCCTATCTGAAGTATCTTTATGCACCCAATCAACTCTCCTTCCAGCAAAAGTAATTGTTTAAGCAGATAACATCACCAGCAGATCCAGGCCACAGCAGCTATTCAGAGAGAAACATTTCCCATCATGTTTGTAGAATCAGGAGAAAGCATATTTTCTCCTAAAAACAGTGTCTATTGGGAGCATGTGGAATGAAATGGTAAAACTCTCATTTTGGGGTGGGCTGCCTTGTTCTGCTACTTTCCTTTAGAAGTAAACTGGAGAAAAGCTTAATAGAAACAAAATATTTCTATAGGCACCAGCAGACTACTAAGAAACAGAGGCCACTTGGTTTTTCCTATCCCTCTGCATGCTCGGTGGAAACATTAGACAAGTGAAAAAGATGAAACAGCTTTAAAAAGAGAGAAGACAAAGTGTAGTTTGGTAGAGAAATACCACCACACCCCAAGAATGAAGGGTACAGGGATTTCACCAACAGGAGCGGGGTAAGTATAGTAGGCTGACCAATTCATCTTGGCTGCCTGGAACTGTCCTGGTTTTAGTATTGAAAATTCCAGGTTCCAGAAAACCCCTCAGGTCTGGGCAAACTGGGAAGTTTGATCACTGTCCATATAGGGAGAGCCACCGTAAGGAAGGTTTTAAAGCAGTTCATTTGGCTCCTTCTTGTGTAAATTTCTTCAGCTGCATTCTTTCCTCCTGGTGGTCCCCATCTGCCTTCCCACCTCCCCAAAAAGAGACGACTTTGAATGCCCTTCTCCTGAATCTATCCCAAGTGTTTAACACTGAAGAACACTTGAAGCCTTTTGCCTTCCAGGAACGTTGTTGCTGTGAGCCCCTGAGGCTTCCTCCAGTCTCCATTCATTTTTACACGCTTGTCTTCATGTTTTCATTTGTAACAAAACAGCACATTTGCATACAATTTTGTTTTGCAGAATGTTTTCTGGTATTATCACATTTGCTAATCATTACAAATCCCTGTGGAATCTGTTGGGAAAGGTGTTGGTATGTCTAAGTTTCACTTAAAAACAATAGGCTGGGAAAGCTGCACAGGTGGCCGGCCTAAAGTGACACAGGTAATCAGAGATAGAGCTGAGCTCTCAAACTCAGGAGTCCTGACCCTAAACATAGGGCACATTGCACTGTCACCTTTTTAAAAATATTTTGTTTTTATCTGTACAATGGTGGTATTTTCATTCTCATGTTATCTCTATGTGAAAGTCAAGTTCTGAATTAGCCCATCACCAACTACTGAAAACTGCCACATCTCATCTCTGGTGGATGAAAGATGACTGGGCTTCCTAATTTTTTATTTTCATCTTCAGTAGCCTCAGAGCTCTCAGGCCAATTGGGAGAATTTCTTGTGTGTGATAACTCCAGTTTCAGGCCAGAGGCAGATGTCTGTCCCTGCAGCCAGGACCAGGTAGAAAGAAGAGCAAGGTCTAGCCCGAAGCCCACCCACTATGCCAGTTTAGATCCTGGGTAAAAGGATTCAGATACAGGGTCATCATAGCTTTCCAGTGAGGCTGGCAAAAGCCAGTGTTTAAGCAGAGGACCATACCCCACTGTAATTGTGGTCACATTTGGTCCAAGGATCTGTTATACCTGTGGTGGGGAAGGCAATCATATGTCTTACAGGAAGTTAGGGGGTCTTCATCCAAATGGTCTGTGCAACATTGAAGGGTCCCTGCTTGATCCTTCTAGGGACATTTGCTGACAATATTTGATAACAAGTGAACTATAGACGTATGTTATATTTACTGAGTGATATGGATTTTAGCATCCAAACAGCGAGACAGTGGAAATGATTCATTTGATTGCTCTCCTACATACAATTGTTACTGGACTGCAGGATGTTTTGTTTATATTTTAAGAATTTTATTTAACTGTAATAGGTAAATCATAAATGAGGAATTATAAAGGGGAAATTGACAGTTGGCTTTAAAATTCTTTTGTTATTTTAAGTTAAGGCTGGGCACAGTGGCGCATGTCTGTAAACTCAGCACTTTGGGAGGCCGAGGTGGGCAGATTGCTTGAGCCTGGGAGTTTGACACCATCCTGGGCAATGTGGTGAAACCCTGTCTCTACAAAAAATACAGAAATTAGCCAGGCATGGTGCTATTCCCCTGTAGTCCCAGCTACTCTGGAGGTGGTGGTGGGAGGATGGCTTGAGCCTAGGAGGTCAAGGCTGCAGTGAGCTGTGATCATGCCACTGCACTCCAGCCTGGGTGACAGAGTGAGACCCTGTCTCAAAATAAATAAATAAATAAATAAAATGAATAAATTACACCTCTGACATGTATTAGCCAATAGAATATTTTTAGAGTGTGTATTATTCAGGTGGCCAGAAGAAACAGATGGTACATTCAAATTAGGATGATTTGAGTAGTGTTTAATAAAAGGCCTCTTAAGATGGTGTGAGCAGGACATGGAAAAACCACAAAGGATGAAGCAGGACCCTGAGCTAGTCATAAAGTGGGGGACACCATTACCATCCTCAGGCAAAAAGGGCTGAGGGGAGCTAACAGTTCCTGGAAACCGCCATAGAGGGTAGGTGGACTTGGTGACCTGCGGGTACTACCACCTCAGGGCAAAGGACATAGCTAGCCTGGGGTGAGCTTGCCAGGTGGGAGCCAAAGGAATACACTCCCAGCCCCACTCTCGCTCCTCCTCTTGTTCTCCTGCTAGTGCTCTTCATGGCCAAATCTAACCTGAAGTCAGTGTATGGAGCCCAGTGGATGTGGAATCTATCCAGGTATCCAGGTGGGTACCTCAGGGCAGAGAGGAAGCTGGGGAAGTATAGAGAGGGGATCACAGGGACAGAGGGAAGCAACCCAGCAGACAATTGCCATAATCATGCCAACTTTTGAACCTTACAGTGATCTTATGAAAAAGCTGCACAGTTACTATCTCCATTTGTAAATAAGGAAACTGAGGCTAAGAGATAATCCCGTCCTGTCAAAGACATTAAACTCATATCTTTTTTTCTACAAACGCTGTGCTGTCTCCTCTGCTTCAGGACAATGAGTTGGTGGGCCACTTCATTACAATACCATGCCCGATGGTGCATAGCCCAGAGAGGAATCATTAAAAACTCAACTAGCTCCCAAGATTTTAAAATATCTCTAAATCGCCTCCGTATTTTCTTTGGTATCAGGGCTGAATCACTATAGTGTCTGCCTTTGGTGAGTTTCAGTATCAATCTGACCTCTTGTGAGCATCTCCGAGGCGATGTAAGCTCTGGCGTCGTATTTTATAAACTCTTTTGGGGCTGCTTAAAAACGTTCCACAATGTGAGGCTTGTTTTATTTAATGGCTTACTGTGCCCATTTAAAAAAGATTCTCCTGTCCAAAGACCTCTCTGAGTTGCCCACACTCCAAGTCCTATAAAATGCAAGAAAACTATTCCATTGCCTGTATTTCCCAAGGCAGAGGGACATTTCTTCCTGCCTGGACAAAATGTTCCATAAATTACCCAGAGCAAGATGCTTCCATGGTGACAGAGAAGTCAGCTAGTATTTATGCAAAGGTGAGAAGGCATAGTTTTCCTTCCTCATCAGGTATATGCCATTTGCATATCCTATTATCTGCTTATTAACCAGAGTGTCTTATAACAATGGCAGGTTGTGAAATGTGCACACATGGGCAGTTAAGCAACAAGCTCTCAGGGATTCGTCCTTCGATTACATCCCTGTAATGAAGAGGCAAAAGGCAAGGTTGTAATGATGGGATACTTGGCAATGAAACGAAATCAGAATTTGATCTAATGCAACATGACTTGCTCATGGCACAGATAGAATATCAAATGATTCATGTGAAATTCAATCCTTGGAATAATCTTCCTATTACATCCATTGTTCTCTCATTCCCCTGAATGCTATACAAAACAGTATGTAAACTAGGATGGCATTAACACATTTTCCTTTATTTTAATTCAGTTTAATTGGGACTTCTATGTTCTAACTTAGTTTACTCTGGGTATATGTATGCCCTGGTAAGCTTAGTAATATGATGGGAAGGCAAAAAATGATGCTCCCTGGCATCCGGGTCATGCCCACTGGAGGTGGATATAGAAAAGCTATTTCTTTGAAAGCAGGTGTACTCAGAGTTAAGGCATCTAAAATGCAGCATGGTTTTTGGAGTTTGCCATGTATTATTCTTAGGAACTTCTCAGAAATTAATTGTTTGGACTTTATCTGATGTTAAAATAACAGAAAGCATACAATGATATATTGCAAGGAAGAGAACTAACAGGTAAGTAGTCACTTAGGGCTACGTACTCCGATAGATACTCAGAGTATCTATCAGACATACACTGTCTGACTGGATTTCCATGACAACTCATGAGGAAACAATTACTGTGTCTGTTTCTGCTCTTTCAGAGCCCTTCTCAGCCAAATCAAGATGCTCACGGTGGGGGATAAGGTAGTCTATGGGAAGGGTTATGCAGCAAGGGTCCTTTCTACTTTGAGCTGCCAGAACAAAGGCTCTCGAAGTTAGGATCTTGCTATTTGGGACATTCAGACCGAATCCAAATCTCCAGGTCTGGGCTTTGGTTCCTCTGCCAAAGCTGCACATGCTGCTCAGTAAAAAATAGCTCTTGTTTCTTTCCGGCACCTGGATGATCATTGCCAGCTTCATCCTCAGCTGGAGTGGCCTGGGGTCCCCCTCCAGCCTTGCTGCTTGTCTGCCCCCCAACTCCTTGTGATGGGATGATGGGATGTAGACCTTGCTCCAGGATTATCAGGCACCTCATCCCT
The DNA here is from genome assembly GCF_000001405.40 of Homo sapiens. Classification (NCBI taxonomy): domain Eukaryota; kingdom Metazoa; phylum Chordata; class Mammalia; order Primates; family Hominidae; genus Homo; species Homo sapiens. Next base: position 93,608,458 of record NC_000015.10, read on the forward strand.
TTCTCAGTCCTCTCCCAGGAGGAACACATTATACACGTTGTATTAATTCTAGAGTTAGGTCTCTGTCTCCGGAGTGTTTTTGATCAGACATTTAGAACATTAGTGAGCTTCTCTTTTTTAAAATGCAGAAATATTAAATGGACAAAATAAAACCAGAGTAATTTAGCCAATCTATTCATTGTCCTAGAGAAGACGTTTAAGGCCAATAAAATTCAAATCGATTTCTGTCTTTGCTTAAAAAGAAATTTAAGCACCAACAAATGAGCCTTTTTTTTTTTTTTTTTGAGAAAAGCAAGGCTCTCAGCTTCTCTTGCCATTGTAGTGTGGCTGCATTGCCAGGTCCTGCTTTAAATTTGAAGGTCACATAGTTAACTTATGATAAATGATACTACATTGAGGTTTGAGCCAAGGCAAAGAGTGTGGGAAAGCTTATAAGAAAACCATTAAGCCTCCAAATTTGCTGACCTGTGAGGACTCTGAACTGAAAATGTAGAGATTCTTGTGGTAAGTATGTACTTGTGAAGAAGCCAGAGCGGGTATTACTGGCTGAACCAAGGTCAGAGGAAAACAGGGTATCAGAACCTGACAATAACCCCATTTAAGATTTTTACAAACTTGTATTTACAAACCTGTCCTCTGAAATTTCAGATTTGCCTTTTTCTTTTTTTTTTTTTTTTCCTTCTCTAATTGGATAGAAGGCCTGCTATAAACTGCAGGCTTAAGTGAGCTTTTGAAAAGCACTTTCTAATATTGCTTTTTCTGTACAATATTTTCTTTATGTTTGATAGGGCTTTGCAGCCAAGCTGATTCTAACAGGGCCGACTGTTGGCTTTCTACTCATTTATCCTCAGTTTTAATATTACCGGCATACTTTTTTGTTGTTGTTTGTTTTGCCTTGTTTTGATCTTAAAATTTGTAGGCTCAAGAATAAACAGTTTAAGTTAGAGATAACTACGAGCTATTTAAGATGCATCCTATCATAAACTTAAGTAATTCACATCATTTCTCATGTCCTCAGATTGCTTGCCTGTGTAATGAAGGCATGTCCCCCTTTTGTCAACTGTGAGAATTTCGTAAAGGCTTCCTGTGTGCCAAGAATGACCAAAATACTCTACATTCGTATATACGTTGTCCCATTCAATCTGCAAGTCATCCTACGAGCCAGTTACTACAATTATTTCCAATTCTGTAGAGGAGGATGCTCAGGCTCAGAGACGTTAAATAACCTGGAAGGCATGGAGGGCAAATTCGGGCAGTCTATTAAGGCACTGTACTAAAATGTTTCAGTACCTTCCTGCCTGAATAGTCTTTGACTTTGTTTTTTAATATAAAGATTCACATTGGTTTAGCTATACTAAAATATTAACTCTAATGATATCCTCTGAATGACAAAGGAATACTTGATTTCTTCAAAATTTAACGTGGCTTATACGTTGATGATGGCTGCTGAATATATTTTCCTACAGATTAAGTCTTTCTGTGAAAGAGAAAGGCTGAGCAGAGACATCCCAAGCTGCTTGGCATCCGTTTTCAGGGAAGATACTTAGTAATAATGGAAGTAATTGTATTTCTTCACTCCATAAGCAGAAGTAGAAATAAAAACAACACTTAAAAATATATATAGCATATTTTGAATTTTAAACCATCAATGGTGGTTTTTTATTCTTATGACAATACAACCATAGAAGCAACATTTTTACATTTGAGGAGATTGCTGCTTTGATTTTATTTGGATTTTTATTTCGGGGTCTCAAATTGTTATACCTCTTACCTAAGGTGTCCAAGAGAACACACCTCTAAGGTGGAGGGGAAACAGGGGAATGGAAGGACCTTGAACACATTTGACACAGTACATTATAAGACAATGGCCACTTTACTGTCAGAGGCAGATGGAGACTGGCTTGGAAATAGATATGGTAGCTTTGCTATCATCCGTCTATCTGTCTATTCATTAATTCAGTTCTTTAATAAATATGTATTAAGTGTTTACTACATGTCAGGGACAGGGCAAGCTTTACCATTACCAAAATACCAAAATGTATGACAAAGGTCTTAGTCTCGGGAACCTCCCAGTCTAGTGAAGCAGACAGATAAGGGAAACGATAACAACAATGAAACCACCTTTGCACAAATTATAACTGAGAAAATTTTTACAGCAAAAGAGATCTGACCTAACCGACTCCATCTTGTTTGTAACCTCCAAACTCTCCTTGCCCATTCCTAGGCATAGGTTAAACTAACTTTGGGAGGAACTTAGCTTGTAGTTTAGCTTTGAAAGAAAGACAATGACAGCCCTTTCTCGAAACAAACCTCCTTCCTGCCTGGGGACTAGACTGCCTTTGCAGGACTAACAAATTAGCCACAAGATTAGAAACTATGGTTTAGGAGTTACGCAGCTGGAGGCTGCAAGATTCTAAACCTCTCCAAATTGCTTCTAGGGATAACATTATTATTGTAACACCTAAAATCAGTGCTTGAGATATTTTGCAGACCCTGCACTCGAAGGATCAGCTGGCACCACCAAGATCGATAAACTGGCTCATCTGGTTTTATGGCCCCCACCCAGGATCTGGCTTAGCACAACAGGGCAGCTTTGACTCCCTATGATTTCATCTCCGACCTGACTAATCAGCACTCTCGGCTCACTGGCCCCCTGCCTACCAAATTATCCTTAAAAACTCCAGTCCTCAAGTTTTCAGGGAGACTGATTTGAGTCATAACAAAACTCTGGTCTCCCGCATGAATTAGTCATTCTCTATTGCAATTCCACTGTCTTGAGAAATCGGCTCTGTCTAGGCAGTGGGCAAGGTGAATCCATTGAGCGGTTACAACGACAGATTACTAGAAAGTGTAAATAGAAGTATGAGAGAAGACAGTGTCAAATATGGGGATACTTATTTCAACCCCTGTGATGGCCAGGGCATGCTACCTAAATCAGAGTCTTAAAAATTGGGTAGGTATAGTATTTTCCAAGTGATGAAGTGGAGGGAAACTTCTAGACATGAGCAAAGAGATAAGGATTTGGGTAATGGCAACAAACTTAATTGAATAGAGCTAGAACTTAGGGTGTGCATGAGAGAATAGGGAGAGCTAGGAGAGGTGGCATACGGGAGCCAAGTCAAAAAGGGCTTTGCATGCTGTGCTGAATACCTTGAACCCTTTCTTAGAACTAGCAAAGAATATTAAGGCAAAGGATGTCATAATATGATTTTTAAAAAGACAACATTGGTGGATAGTGTAGAGAAAGAAACGCTTAATTTTTCAACTCAATGATTAGACTTTGTATGTGGAACTCTTCTTGTTAATCAGCAAGGACTTTTGAGAGGCTTCTAGAAACCACTGTCCTTCAATTGAGGGAGGCCAGCAGTACCCAATTTGGGGGAATGCAGAAAGCAGGAAATGGGCAATTGACTGATAGTTTGGAGGTGAGAACACCTGTTTGCATAATTTAGAAATGAAATATAAAAAGTGCATGACCATAACAGAAGCAATCATGAGAAATCATTTGTTGTCTGATTTTGGCCAATAAAATATCAATGGAAACTTAAATTTGGTTCTACTTTGCTAATCTTCATCCTGTTCTTAGAGACATTAATTATAGTTTTTTTTTTTTTTTTTTTTGAGACAGAGTCTTGCTCTGTCGCCCAGGCTGAAGTACAGTGGCGCGATCTCGGCTCACTGCAAGCTCCACCTCCCAGGTTCACGCCATTCTCCTGCCTCAGCCTCCCAAGTAGCTGGGACCACAGGCACCCACTACCACGCCCGACTAATTTTTTGTATTTTTAGTAGAGACGGGGTTTCACCGTGTTGGTGAGGATGGTCTCGATCTCCTGACCTTGTGATCCGCCTGCCTCAGCCTCCCAAAGTGCTGGGATTACAGGTGTGAACCACCGCGCCCGGCCAATTATGGATTTTTTTTTTTTTTTTAATGTCGGCATGATATGGCAGGGCCCAGAAGCCAGGTTGTTCATCACCGGCCCATTTTTATGATATTTCCTCATTTAAAATTTGAGCTGAGGAATTGGCAAGGGAATGGGGGAGTGGAGAGGGTAGGTACTTGGCAAGCTGCTGTAGTTTGGGGGTGCTGAGATGAAAACAAATCAGCAAATACTTCATTATTTAAGTCACCACAGCTATTTGTACAGTTATAGTCCTAATTATATGTTTGTCTACGCTACCGGATTTAGTTTAAATTGCATTATTCTGGAGAGAAGGAACTAGATTTATTCAACTTGACTTTAGCCTAATTATGGATAGATGCAAAAAGGTAACATTTAAACACAGCTTGTCATTCCTGTTAATAGATTTCTTTTCTAAATCTCCTAAATACTAGTGATTGAATAATAACTTCAATAATGAGTAAATAATTTAAACCATCTTGTGTAATAAAAATGCCCTAGAGTTCTATAATAATGTATTATTTTAAAATTATTCTTACATATGTTGTTTTATATGATTCTCTGAGACCTCTACATCAGTAGACTTGATTTTTAATGTAGAAAAATATAGGGTAAGGGCTTTGAAAAGTCCCTGGGCTCGTCCTCTTTTTTCAAGGGCCTTGTGCATCTTATTTCTTCTATCACAACAAACCTTTGATGCACAGTTGTTCTAAGAGCATGACTTTGCAGCCACAAAATACTGCACTTACAAATGCATCCTTTGCTCTGACTTGTGAATTACTCAGCCCATGCATAAAATGTCATGTTTGAATTTTTATGGATTCCAGGAGAAATCTGGCCAGTTGGAATCCCTTGCTTAGTTCCCTTCAACTTGGCTGAATGGGGCTAGGCAATATTCTCTAACTGGTCTGCTGCATATGGGCTAATATTTCCCATCATGTGCCCTCCCCAGTCCCACGTTCCCTATTCCCATTTAAAAATATGCTATTTATGATTACAGTTGACTTATCCCAAAGGAGTACAGTGGTCATAATATAAAATGGAATAGAGAGAGAGAGAAAAATAAAGCCAGTGTAAGCTGGTTTCTCAGTTTCTGCCTATGGTGGGGGAGATGCGAGAGAAAACTACTTCAATCTGGAATCAATTATGTAGCATGATACATGACAAGAAAGGAACTAAACAGATGGAAAAAGGGGTGAATAAAGAGGACAACCCACCTGATCCTAATTATGTGCACCTACACTTGGAAGTCTTTTTGCCAGACATCTTGAATAGTTCAGGACTAGGTGGAGGAGATTTCCCAAGGATTCAATGTAAAAATGCAAACCTCAATGGTGAACAAAGAGTTCACGTAAAAAGAATAGGAAAATCATTCCTCGATGGACACCTGGAATGGAACATTTAAGTCCCTAAGTTTTATACTCATATATATCCTACAGATCTTGGCACCTTCTGAGAGCTGATACATTTTAGATACTACTTTAGAAAAGGAGTATTGGAATGCTTTGAAAACATGGTTTCCATTATTTAAAGGGCAAATATAGAGGGCATGGTGTATTTAAGAATTGTTTTATTGGGGCATTTAGCAAGATTCTATGTGTTTAGCAGGTCATTGGTGGAGACCAGGGGTGACACTTGGCCGAAAAATTAATATTAGTCTCCGAAGCACAAGGGCTGGAGGAGAGGAGGGAGGTGGGAGAGAGGGCGGGCAACATTAGTTGAGTATCTGTTGTCTACCGGGAGCTTTGGCTTATAATTTCTCATGTGATTTGCAGGATTCTTTGAGGTATGACTTATTATTCTTCATTTATAAATTAGGAAATTGTGTCTCATATTAGAGAATTATGCAGTTAAATGCTGATAAAGACTCAACTTCTGGAACCAGCATAATTCCCATTAGATTGGAGTGTTTTAATAAAGAGAAGAGAGAAATGTGGAGGCTGGGTTTCCCCAAGACCGGGCCCCCGGAGGTCCCTGCCACGCTCCCCCTTTCCTCTGCCTATTGTATGTTGTTTGTACCACAGCTATAGTGCACGATATAACTGGTTGTACTGCAGTTTTATTGTCAACACAGTTACACTGGGGTGGGACCATTGTTTCCCAGAATCTCTTTCCTTGTTTTGTTCCAAGTTAGAGTTGGCCAAAAGAGGAATTTGTAATGGATTTGGGAGGTGGGAAGAGAGCAGCTGTTATTATTCTGTGAATATCTTGGTAAAATGTGGTGACCAGACTGAGGCTGAGATTTGCGGGTTCCAGCTTGTCCTTGCTCTCCACTGCTGTGAACTTGGCTTTCTTCCTGACTACCAAGCCTGCTGACCAACAGTGACCCCAGGCTCACCGCCACATGCTTAGTGATGGATCTGCAGAGGCCACGGTTCCCCAGAGGCCACGGCTTCCCAAAGCCTTCTTCATAAACGCTCCCTTCACAGGCCCATGTTCCCTCACATACACCGCTTCTGATTTGCCCACCCTTCTAAGGCTTCAGGCAGACTGCTTAGTGATGTTTTCTCTGATCCTCCAGTGTCCGCTCCAGACCTTCATTTCCCTCGGCAGCTCCCACATTTGTGAAGGTCTAAGTCCTGCCACGAACCACTCAGCCTGTAGCACTTCTAGTGGCTGTCCTTCCCTGACTGATTCCCGACTCATACTATTGCAGAGAACTATGCATTTGCTCATCTCATTCAGTTCCTTATTTGGGGAAGGAACTCTGTTGTTCCACATGAGGTCCTGCACTGTTCTTTACATGTAGTAAATGTTCAGTAAAGGTGTATTAAATGTTCAGAATGGCCTATTTTAAGGGTTAGTGAAAGCTCTTCTGTTGAACTTAGGATATTGAGAAAATTTATCTCCAAAATTAGAAGATTTTATTCTCTCAGTCTGGCTTAATCCCACCTGTGAGATTCATGTTTATAACATCATAAACTCTACGTCCCTGTTTCTCACATCTTGTGAGTCTTGTGAGAAATGCTGAGAGTAACCATACTCCCTGGAACCCTTGGGGAAGTGCAAGATAAGGTGGGAAAATGATGGCATTTGCAGTCAGAAGATCTAGATTGGGGTCTCAGTGCTCTTACTTGCTGGCAGCATGACCTTAGTCGAGCCAATCTCAGCTGTGGTTTCTTCAAAATTTGTTTGTGGATAATAATACCTAGTTTATAGTTTTGCTCTGTGGCTAAAAAAATATAAAAAGTTTATAAGTTACAAATGTTTGTGAACATTAGTTACTACTTTACCTATATACATGTTTGGAAAGTATGTAAAGCCTTTGGGGGTTAGCGAGTTAACTAGTCCATTACTGCTATATAGTTTATGTCATCAAAATGCAGTTATTAATAATTTCTAACTTGATACACATCCACAGGATTTCACAAAATGGACTGTATCACCACGTACCATGTAATTCCTCACCCCCTGCTCCATTGGGTTGACTTAACATGTAATTATTTCATTATAGAGTTTTTGGCCAGGATAATCATGAAGCTAAGCAGTCTATTATTTTCAGAATTCATTTTCTTCCTTTTGGGAATGGAAACAACATCTCTTCACTTAAAATAATTGCAGATATATTGGGGCTTAAGTCTGTTTATTGTTTTCCATTTCCTCTGTTTCTTGTTTCTGTATCTTTTTTCTCGCCTTCCTATGGGCTACTCAAAAAAAAGTTTGAGTTCTATTTTGTTTTTTAAATAATATTTTCACCATATTACCTTATACAGCTTTCTCAGTGATTGCTCTAGGTATTAACATATATATATCTCAGTACAGGCTACTGGTATTGATGTTTTATCCATTTCAAGTATAGACAATGTACTTTTATTTAGGTCTCTATACCTCCCTACGTTTTCATATAATTGTCTCAAGTATTCCTTCTACCCTTCTACGTACATTGAGCACATACTGTGTATTGTTATAAGTAATAGGAATGTAAAATATAACTCAAGAAACTCATTAAGTGAAGGATATCCTACTATGTTTACCTTTATTTTTAATCCTTTCTATTCTGAATGCCATAGCCTACTTAATGTTATCATTATCTTTCTGTTGGAGAGCTTCTTTAAGGGTAGGTGTGCTAGCAATAAATTCTCTTAGTTTTCCTTAATTTGAGACTATCTTAATTTCCCTCTTCCCAAGGGACAGTTTTGACAGGCATTGAATGCAGAGTTGATGATTCTTTTCGTTCTTCAGCTGAAAAAAAATGTTTTGCCTCTTCCCTCTTAACTCCGTGATTTTAGATGATAAATCTGCTGTCATCTGAATTAAATTCTGTATAATATGTCTTTTCTCTCTGGCTGTTTTTAAGATTTTTTTCTTTAGTTTTCAGAAGTTTATGTTGTGTCTTGGTATAAATTTCTTTAGTTTTAATTTGTTTGGGATTCATCTGGCTTCTTGAACCTGTAGGTTATGCCTTTGCTTCTTTTGGGAAATTTTTAGCCTTTCTTTTTTTCTTAATCTTTTCCATTTTATAGCCTTTCTCTTCTCTTCTCCTTCTGGGATCTTTTGTTATTGTCCCGCAGATCTCCGAAGCTCTGTTCATTTTTTATTTCCAGTCTATTTTCTCTGTTCAGATTGAGTAAATTCTATTAATCTCTCTGATTTGAGTTCACTAATTCTAACTTTTATTATCTTCACTCTATTAAGTCCATTCAGCAAGTTTAAATTTTGAAAGTTTTTAGTTCTGTAATTTTCATTTTATTCCTTTTTATAATTTCTATTTCTTTTCTGAGATTTGCTACATTTTTTCCTTTTTCCCAGGATAATTTGTAATTGATTGTTGAAACCTTTTTACAGTGGGTACTTTTAGCAGATAATTTTAACATCTGATCTCCGTATAGCTATCAATTGACTGTCTTTTCTAATTCAAATTGTGGTATTCCTGGTTCCTGGCACAACAGATTTTTATTTTATCTTGAACACTTCATTATGTTAGGAGGCTCTTGATCCTATTTAAATCTTTGATTTTAGCAAGCAGTGGCTTTGTTTAGGTTTATCACAGGTTCTAGGCTCATTCTGTGAGCTTTAATTCCAATGATAGTAGTGTTCAGAGCCCTGGCAATGCTCTTCTGGGGTGCTGTGTTTTTCTGGTGCAGCTGGAACTTCACAGTCCCCACTGATGACAACTACAAGAGTGGAAGGCACTTCCCTGGGTTGCCTGGTGTCACTGGTCCACTTTCTATAGAAGGACAGGGTCAGGAGACACCAAGCCTGAGACTCATGTCACTGGGTGGAGAGCAGGGAGACACTGGGTTTCACTGCTGCTGCCACTGTCAGCAGAGCAGGCTGCCCACCAGTGCCCTAATTGTGCAGGAGGTTTGCTGCTCTGGGGCAGGTGAGTGAGACCACCTGCTGGTTGTGGAGCAGAAGTTGAGCTTCCCTGACTTCCCAGTCCTTTAGCCCTAGAGACTAGGCTTTTTTTGTTTGCTTCATATTTTGCTTGCTTGTTTTTGTCTATGCTTTTTGGTGGTTTGGGGTTGCAGATCTCTCCAGAGCCTAGTCTGGGGCATGTGGGCGGTAAGACAATAACCAGAAACCTTACAACATCGATGTTCCTCAGGTCCTAAGATCTCTAACAAGTCTGCCTTCTTTCCAGTTCCCACAGTCCCTTTATTGTTACCTGTTGAATAATTTCCAGTGTATTTAGTTGTACTTAGGTGAAGGAAAAGCAAATCTGGGTTATCTTTTTCTAGAACTGGAGGTCTATCTACTTTTGATAAGGAGAAATGTTCATTATATATTATGTGAACTTCTAAAGTTTGAAACACTATATATAGCATGAACCCATTTTTAAACATGCAGATTATATTTAGGCATAAAAATTAGTTTAAAGAAATATACAACAAAATATTAGCAATGGTTATTTTCTGGATAATGGTAATTTTTAAAGTTTTCATATTAATATTTTGATTTTAAACTTATTTTTATAAGAACTTATATTGATTTTATAATCTAAAAATAAAAGCTAGATCTTTTCTAATTTTGACAAGAAAAGGCTTATGGTGGGTAATATGCTTGTGGTTTTTAAATCCTTGAAGAACTGTCAAAGTAAAGAGGGATTAAACTTGTAATATGCTCTTCCCAAAGGCAAAATTCAGAATGAGAAATATTACACAGAGGGACTTTTTGGCTTAATTTACTAGACAGTTTTTGTGAAACCAATTTTGAATGACAAAAATTGCAGAGAGGGACCTTTTGGCTTAATTTACTAGAGAATTTTCTGTGAACAAATTTTGTTCAACAATGGCACAATCACTTTTCGGGTTTATTATAGAGAGGGTTTTGTGCAATGAAAAGGTCCTCCAAGGTGACAATGTATCTGTCTGCCAAGTGCATCCCTGGCATCCCAATTATCAATTTAATAGGTGAGAATGCCTTACTGAAACTTACCATGCACTGGAAAATACATTTGTCCTGGTTGGAGAAAGTTAAAGTCTAAGAGAGTGAACATTTAACATTACTGCTTTCTGGTTTATCTTTCCTTCGAAAGCAAAAAATATTACTTTGATTCTTTCCTGGTGCCAATCATGGGGATCTGATCTCCATTTTGGAGGTGAAGAATGGTAGGAAACCTTCTTTTTTTTACCTTCTCCTTGTTGTGAAGGAAAGACAATATTCATCAACACATTATCTGGCTCCTGTCTTGTCCAGATCTTAATCCTCTTGGCAAATAGATGAGGAGTCTTTCCTGGAACTTTTTCCTTTATGTTGAACAGTTTGAAGCGGCTTAAGAAGGTACCCTGGATTTCAGAGGCGTGGAGGAGACATAGGGAGTGGAAATGGCACCACATAAGAGGGCAAGGGCCCCGGGTACAAATGTTTGTGCTATAAGCCATGTAGTGTACAACACTGAGTTACCTAGTAGATAACCAGTATATGAAGCATTCAGCAGATGTTTGCTGAAGTTAACAAATAAGTGTGTGCATCTGTCAAATACTGTGGTCGATTTATGTCGGTGGCTTTCAAATTGTGCTTACAGTGAATGTAAGGATCCTGCAAATTGCCTCAAGACCTTTTTGTAAGACAGCAAAGGAGCTGCAGTGAAAATTTTGGTTTTAGTGCTTTGCCCAAACCAACACACAGACAAAACTATGCAGCAGGGGGTCAGCTTTGGAGGGGAATTCTGTGTAGAGTAAGAATCAGCTTCTTTGGTGAATTCCAAATAGAGCTTTAGCAACTCAACCTGTAGAGCTTTCCATTTTGCAGCTGAACAATTTAAAATACCTCCTTTGAGGGCAAGACAAAACCAAGGCGATATTTCAGTATCAACAGAAAGAACCACATGCCTCTGTCAGTACAGAACATGAAAGGAGCTTTGAACATAAAGACTTTGCCTGCATCAAATAAAAATATCAAGTTTACTTAAGGAACACGTGGAGCTTAAAATCCTTTAGTCTTGTGATGAGCTTAAAGCCTGCTCTTTCTATCCGCTGGGAGCTCCAAGAGAGAGCCAGCATGGGAGCCCATAGACGAACAGACCTGCAAATGCGGAAGGTCCCTGGGCTTGCCTTTTGGTTTCAGTTCTCACAGAATCCAGCCTGCATTATTCCCTCCTGTGTTTCCATGGGTTTTTATCCCTATTTTCATTTTCCTGAAAAATTAAAAAAATTTTTATTGACATACAATATCACCAACAAATTTTCACAAGGTGAACTCACCCATGTAATCTGTCTGTACCTAGACGGAGACAGAGATTGAGAGAGGGAGAGAGAGAAAGAGTGCGCTTTCACCTGGACCAGAACACTCCACAGGTCCCCTCCCTTCCCAGTGGTTGCTGTATGTAGTAATAGTTCGTGTCCTCTCATTGCTCTGTGGAGCTCCATCGTATGAATGTACCACAGCCTATTTAACATTCTACAGTTGATGCACATTTGAGTTGTTTCCACTTTTTGGCTATTATGAATAAAACAGCTACGAATGTTTATTTACATGTTTTTAAGTGAAGATGTTGTTGCATTTCTGTTGGGTACATACCTAGGAGTGGAATTGCTGGGTCCTAAGGTATGTTTAGCTTGAATAGATTCTGCTAACAAATTTGCCAAAGTGGTTGAAACAATTTGCACTCCCATCAGCAGAGTATAAAGCTCCTGCTTCTTCATATCACTCCAAGCATTGGATATAGTGTCGTTTTAAATTAGGCATTCTGATGTGTATAAAGTAGTACTCCCTATGGTTTTCACTTGTATTTTCCTAATGATTAATAAATCTGATTCCTTTTTACATATTTATTGACCACCTCAATATAGTAAAGTACCTGTTCAAGCTCTTTTTCCATTTTTTTCAATGAGGTTATTTATCTTTTCAAAAATTGTTTAATTGTCAATCTTATATTTTTTGGATGAGTCCTTTGTCAGATATACGTATTTCAATGTATGCATATATTCAATATATGTAAATATATGCATTTCAATTATCCTCTCTGGCTCTATGATTTGCCTTTTCAATCCCTTAATAATGTTTTGTTCTGAACATAAATTTCTAGTCCAATTTATCTTATTTTTTCTATGCTTAGGGTTTTTATATCATGCTTAGAAATGTTTACCTACCCTATGGTCATAAACATGTTTTCCTCTGAAAATTCTATTGCTTTTGTTTTCATATTTAGGTCTATAATTTATTGTGAGTTGACTTTTGTGTCTAGTATTAGGTCGGGTTCAAGATTCACTGTCTTCCTCATGGCTGTCAATATCCAGTACTATGTATAAAAAAAATCATCTTTTACCCACAGCATGGCAGTGTCTCCTTTGTACTAAATCGAGTTACCGTAAATGTTTGTATTGATTTCTGGGATCTCTGTTCTGCTCCACTATTCTATTTATCACCCTCCAGTTTTTTTTTTTTTTTTTTTTTTTTTTTTTTGAGACAGCGTCTCCCTCTGTCACCCAGGCTGGAGTGCAGTGGCGCCATCTTGGCTCACTGCAAGCTCTGCCTCCCGGGTTCATGTAGTCTCCTGCCTCAGCCTCCCAAGTAGCTGGGACTACAGGTGCCCGCCACCATGTCCAGCTAATTTTTTTGTATTTTTAGTAGAGACGGGGTTTCACCGTGTTAGCCAGGATGGCCTCAATCTCCTGACCTCGTGATCCGCCCGCCTCGGCCTCCCAAAGTGCTGGGATTACAGGCGTGAGCCACAGTGCCCAGCCAGTTTTTTTAAATGAGAGAAAATATTACAGATGCAGTTAAAATCTCATGTCCCCATATTAACTAATTTCTTACCTTCTCTTTTAATAGTTATCCATGATCCTGAACTTTATTCCCATGGGTAATTACATTTTTACCATACATATATATGTGTCCATACAAATATCATATTGTTTTATATGATTTAAAGTTTGTAATGTGGTATTATGCATGTAATATCTTTTTTGACTTGCTATTTTATGTCAACATAATCATTTGAGATATAACTATGTTGATAGATGCTCTTTTTCATTCATTTAAATTTTAACTCATATATACTGCAGTAAATGAATATAGCACTTATTGTCTCTTTAGCTTTTCTCTCTTTTCTTTTCTTTTTTTTTTTTTTTTGAGATGGAGTCTCACTGTGTCATCCAGGCTAGAGTGCAGTGGCACAATCTTGGCTCACTTCAACCTCTGCCTCCCAGGTTCAAGCAATTCTCGTGCTTCAGCCTCCCAAGTAGCTGGGATTATAGGTGCCCACCACCACACCTGGCTAATTTTTGTATTTTTAGTAGAGACAGCGTTTCACCATGTTGGCCAGACTTTTCTCGAACTCCTGACCTCAGGTGATCCACCCGCCTCAGTCTCCCAAAGTGCTGGGATTTTAGGCGTGAGCTATTGCACCTGGCCAGCTTTTCTATTCTTAATAAACAATTAGTGTGTTTTAACTATGTTTGACTATTACAGACAATGCTGTACCAAAAATTATCATATGCATCTCCTTATGTATGAGCTCTTTCAAAGGTGGTGATCTAGAAAGAAAAATGGCAGGCTGAAGTATATTTGTACCTTCAACTTTTATAGATATTGCAAATTACTCTCCAAATTAGATGTACCAATTTATGCTCATCAGTATAGTATGGGACTTCCCCTAGTCACATCCTCACCAATGACTGTTTCTGTTAGATGCTTTAAATTTTTCTGATCTCATGTCTGTGAAATGAAACCCTATTATTTTAAATTGCATTTCCTTGTTGAAGAATGAGATTTAGCAAGTTTTCATATATTTACTGATGATTTGGGTTTTCTCTTTGCATTGTCACTTCATATATGTTTCTTACTCTCCTGGAAGGTTGTCTCTTATCAATTTGAGGATGTTGAAGAATAAACAATGGTTCATTTTGAATTATAGATTTAACAATTTTCAGAGGCATTTTTGTTCAAAACTGCGGAGTAGAAACAAAAGTACAGGCTTTTATTTAAACACAATTGTGTTGATTATAGCCATTATCTTGCCTATGGAGTTTTGTTTTTTAGTTTGATTACTATAGTTTCTAGTTCAAAGAGTTCTAATTATTTCTATGTGATTGTCTTTGTTTAATAATTTCTGGGGTTTTTTTTGGATATTATCCCTTCATTTTTCTCTTTGATCAGATTAAAATACTTATTTTAAACTCTTTGGTAGAGCATTTAACTTTGAATTTGTTCGTATTCCATTAGTTGTTTCTGTTAAATATATTTTCTTGTATATTTTATATGTTTTGTAATTTTGGAGTGTCAACTCGTTTGAGTAGTAGGATCATTTTGTTTTTTTCTCTCTCCCTTTCTTCCCCTCACACGATTGCTCCTTCCCATAGAAAGGTAGAAATGGAAAGTTATTCAATGAAAAATGTATATGTAAAGAATCCATGATGGCAATTAGAAAAGAGACACTGATACTACAGAAATCAGTACACAAAAATCTATTTGTGTTATAGAAATCAGGCTGGAGTAAATGTTAAAATTTGTAGTATTGGGGGAAATTTGGAATCTCTCCCAGTTTTCTTTTCAGTGAACTTCCAGTGTTTTCAACAAAGGAAGAACATGACAATAATTTGAGTACCACGTTATAAATAATTTACAGATATACAGTGCTTCTCCACTTAACTCCTCAGCCACTACCCTTCCCTACTCTGCGAAGGGAGAGGCAACTTAGAGATTTTTTAAATGTCCTGGCCCAAGATGAAGAAGCCAAGAAGCTCCTATGCAGCAGGATGGGCAAGGTTTTGGCATCACCACACTGTGTCTGACTCTGCCATTTACTGACTTTTAACCTTCAAATGTATAGCAGGAATTTGTATAATAACTTATGCTTTTAAAATTAAATTACATATTATATAATATATAATTTACATTATAAAGACAAAATCTAATATATAATATAATGTATATTATCTATAAAATTATAATTTTGTATTTACAATAACTTGTAACTTTATAATTTTAACAACAACTTCAAACCTAAGGCAGGAATTTTTAAGAGAAGAAGCCTGCTGAAACATCATGTGAAGACTGTATGAGATGGTATTTGTAAAGCACTCACACTGGGCGATTCTGTAAACTTCTCTAGGTCTTCTCATTTTTAAAAGTATAAACAGGATCTAAATTACATTCTGTTTTAAAGGTTAAGTGAAATAACCAAGTCTATGGAAGTGCATCGTAAACTGAGTAATGATTCAAATGTAAGAGAAACTTTTCCTCGTCTAAACTAGCATGACTATTGCTCTCCTACCCTGCTTTATTTTTATTCATAGTATTTATCACTACGGAAATTGATTTATGCATGTTTATTATCTTCCTCCCAGAGGGCAGAAAATTTATTTACTTTTAGAGTCTCTGGTTATGTAGTAAGTATTCAACAAAAATTTACAGAATGAATGAATTGTAGGTGGTCCTTATTGTTATGTTGTTATTGCATGAACTGAATTATTTCAATTCTCATATCTTTACACTAATAACCTCAACTGTTTCTTCTTCTCAGAGCCTAATACATACACTTCTGTCTCCTTCAAGCACTGTGTTTTTAGATTCACTAATTTCTGCATTCATTCAATATACATCGAGTGGGTGTTGCAAGATTCTCGTTAAGTCCTTTACTCCTGTGATGTCAGTATCCCTGAGATATTTTCTTAGCATCAGGCAATCACACAGGCTTGGAAACCCAGGCTACTTGTCACATTAACTACTTTTCTGCATAATGAACTCAACTGGAGAATTAAATATGGCAACTTTCACATTTAACTGTATAAGAAAGGCACTGTTATCTGTTGATTTGCATGGAGATGTTTACTTTTTCTTCTATTCCCTGAACTGTATTTATCAGTTCCGAGCCATTTCCAATTCTAGGCTTTTACTGATTCGCAGTGTCTTCTGCTGACTCAGTAACCTTTTTGATAATTACATCGAATGTTATCAAGCATTGCAGCCAATGGTTTTTTAAATCACCACTATAATTCTTACACTGAATGTTTCTTAGAACAAGTTTTGTCTTTTATCTACAGTGAACTACAACTTCATAAATATTTACCTTCTTCGGAAAATTGCCATTGCTAAATAAGATAACATGGTACATAAATAAACTTTCTGTGAAATCTGCATTCATTTATTCCTTGAGAGGAAAAAAATTAAATTGAAGAAAACACATAGAAATTGCCATTAGAGTCAAGACTACTTACTGTTTCCCAAGCACGATATGCCATTTCCTACCTCCATAATATTGTCTTGGTTTATTATTTGTTCACGTACTTCCCTGGACCTCAAAATGCTCTTTTTCTTTATGTTGTCTACTGGCTGTTCATAGTTCAATTCAAATGTCACCTTCTCCAGAAATTTTTCTTCAGTACTTCAACTGGAGTTAGTTTCTTTTTCCCTTAAAATTATATAGCTCTTCCAAGAACTAAAAAAAAAAAAAAAAAAAAAAATTCATTGACGAATCTTTTCTGGGCAAAAACATGTAGGAAGTTTGTGTTGCCTAAACACATCATACATTTCCGGTACAGTTGACCCTTTTACAATGTGGGGGTTAAGGCACTGATCCCCTATGCAGCCAAAAATATGTGTCTAACTTTTGACTCTCCAAAAACTTAATTACTAATAGCCTACTGTTGAGTGAAAGCCTTCCTGATAACCTAAACAGTCGATTGACACATATTTTGTATGTTATATGTATTGTATACTGTATTTTTACAATAAAGGAAGCCAAAGAAATGAAAATGTTAAGAAAATCATAAGGAATAGAAAATATATTTACTATTTACTAAGCGGAAGTGGATCATCATAAAGGTCTTTATCCCTATCATCTTCATGTTGAGTAGGCTGAGGGGGAGGAAGAGGAATGGTTGGTTTTATCTCAGGAGAGGCAGAAGTAGGAGAGGAGGTAGAAGGGGACACAGGATTGGGAGGCTGAAGCGGGTGGATTACAAGGTCAGGAGTTCAAGACCAGGCTAGCCAAGATGGTGAAACTCCATCTCTACTAAAAATACAAAAATTATCTGGGCGTCGTAGTGGGTGCCTGTAATCCCAGCTACTTGGGAGGCTGAGGCAGAGAATTGCTTGAACCTGGGAGGTGGAGGTTGCAGTGAGCCGAGATTGCGCCACTGCACTCCAGCCTGGGTGACAGAGTGAGACTCTGTCTTAAAAACAAAAACAAAAACAAAAACAAAAACAAAAAACAGAAGGGGACACAGGAGAGGCAAGCATGCCTGACATACTTTAAAGAAATATGTAGCTTTTTAATGACTTTTTTTCCTGACTAAAAAACCAAACACCGCATATTCTCACTCATAGGTGGGAATTGAACAATGAGATCACATGGACACAGGAAGGGGAACATCACACTCTGGGGACTGTTGTGGGGTGGGGGGAGTGGGGAGGGATAGCATTGGGAGGTATACCTAATGCTAGATGACGAGTTAGTGGGTGCAGCGCACCAGCATGGCACATGTATACATATGTAACTAACCTGCACAATGTGCACATGTACCCTGAAACTTAAAGTATAATAAAAAAAAAGGAATAATGATTGAAGAAACAGAAGAAAAAAAAAAGAAATATGTAGCAATTTCTGTCTGACTTTTTTGCTTTTTCATATCTCTGAAAATGTTTCTATATGATACCAATTCTTCCACAGTTTGCTGCAGTTATAGTCCCTGTATCGTTGAAGCGTTCATGTAGTAAAAGAAACCAAAAGCAGTATTGAATAATTAGTACCCTTCTGCCAGATTGTCTAATGTCAATGTGTTTTCCGGCACTGCTTCTTCTACGTCTTCCTCCTCATCGTCTGGCACTGGTTCTGAAGCAGTTAACTCTCTCAAGTCCTCTTCTGTAAATTCCTCTGGTTTGGTGTCTGTTAGCTCTTAAATTTCTCCAAGATCTGTATCTTGAAACTCTTCACTCCCCACCTTTTTTGTCGTAGCCACAATCTCTTTCATGATTTTCTTGATTGGCTTTGTCATAAATCCTGTGAGGTCATGTACAACATCTGGAAAATACATTTCTCTAGCAGGAATTTATAGTTTTGGGCCTGATGACTTTCATGATTTTCTAAAACAACAATGTCAACTTCAATGGTGCAATCATTTCAGACTTCCATGATGTTCTCTCTATCAGAGTTCTTTTTCATAGTATTGACAATCTTTTCCACAGAGTTTCATATGTTATAAACCTTAAAAGTCTTTATGGTCCCCTGATATAGAGGCTGAATTAGATACATTGTGTTTGGGACCAAGTATACCACTTCAACGCTTTCAGTGTTGAACTCATGAGGTGCTGAGTGGCCAGGGGTATTGTCCAATATCAAAAGAACTTTATTTATTTATTTATTTATTTTTTATTTTTTTATTATTATACTTTAAGTTTTAGGGTGCATGTGTACAATGTGCAGGTTAGTTACATATGTACACATGTGCCATGCTGGTGTGCTGCACCCATTAACTTGTCATTTAGCATTACGTATATTTCCTAAAGCTATCCCTCCCCCCTCCCCCCACCCCACAACAGTCCCCAGAGTGTGATGTTCCCCTCCCTGTGTCCATGTGTTCTCATTGTTCAATTCCCACCTATGAGTGAGAATATGCGGTGTTTGGTTTTTTGTTCTTGGGATAGTTTACTGAGAATGATGGTTTCCAGCTTCATCCATATCCCTACAAAGGACATGAACTCATCATTTTTTATGGCTGCATAGTATTCCATGGTGTATGCGTGCCACATTTTCTTAATCCAGTCTATCATTGTTGGACATTTGGGTTGGTTCCAAGTCTTTGCTATTGTGAATAGAGCCGCAGTAAACATACGTGTGCATGTGTCTTTATAGCAGCATGATTTATAGTCCTTTGGGTATATAACCAGTAATGGGATGGCTGGGTCCAATGGTATTTCTAGTTCTAGATCCCTGAGGAATCGCCACACTGACTTCCACAATGGTTGAACTAGTTTACAGTCCCACCAACAGTGTAAAAGTGTTCCTATTTCTCCACATCCTCTCCAGCACCTGTTGTTTCCTGACTTTTTAATGATTGCCATTCTAACTGGTGTGAGATGGTATCTCATTGTGGTTTTGATTTGGATTTCTCTGATAGCCAGTGATGGTGAGCATTTTTTCATGTGTTTTTTGGCTGCATAAATGTCTTCTTTTGAGAAGTGTCTGTTCATGTCCTTCGCCCACTTTTTGATGGGGTTGTTTGTTTTTTTCTTGTAAATTTGTTTGAGTTCATTGTAGATTCTGGATATTAGCCCTTTGTCAGATGAGTAGGTTGCAAAAATTTTCTCCCATGTTGTAGGTTGCCTGTTCACTCTGATGGTAGTTTCTTTTGCTGTGCAGAAGCTCTTTAGTTTAATTAGATCCCATTTGTCAATGTTGTCTTTTGTTGCCATTGCTTTTGGTGTTTTGGACACGAAGTCCTTGCCCATGCCTATGTCCTGAATGGTAATGCCTAGGTTTTCTTCTAGGGTTTTTATGGTTTTAGGTCTAATGTTTAAGTCTTTAATCCATCTTGAATTAATTTTTGTATAAGGTGTAAGGAATGGATCCAGTTTCAGCTTTCTACATATGGCTAGTCAGTTTTCCCAGCACCATTTATGAAATAGGGAATCCTTTCCCCATTGCTTGTTTTTGTCAGGTTTGTCAAAGATCAGGTAGTTGTAGATATGCGGTGTTATTTCTGAGTGCTCTGTTCTGTTCCATTGGTCTATATCTCTGTTTTGGTACCAGTACCATGCTGTTTTGGTTACTGTAGCCTTGTAGTATAGTTTGAAGTTAGGTAGCGTGATGCCTCCAGCTTTATTCTTTTGGCTTAGGATCGACTTGGCGATGCGGGCTCTTTTTTGGTTCCATCTGAACTTTAAAGTAGTATTTTCCAATTCTGTGAAGAAAGTCATTGGTAGCTTGATGGGGATGGCATTGAATCTATAAATTACCTTGGGCAGTATGGCCATTTTCATGATATTGATTCTTCCTACCCATGAGCATGGAATGTTCTTCCATTTGTTTGTATCCTCTTTTATTTCATTGAGCAGTGGTTTGTAGTTCTCCTTGAAGAAGTCCTTCATGTCCCTTGTAAGTTGGATTCCTAGATATTTTATTCTCTTTGTAGCAATTGTGAATGGGAGTTCACTCATGATTTGGCTCTCTGTTTGTCTGTTATTGGTGTATAAGAATGCGTGTGATTTTTGTACATTGATTTTGTATCCTGAGACTTTGCTGAAGTTGCTTGTCAGCTTAAGGAGATTTTGGGCTGAGACAATGGGGTTTTCTAGATATACAATCATGTCGTCTGTAAACAGGGACAATTTGGTTTCCTCTTTTCCTAATTGAATAACCTTTATTTCCTTCTCCTGCCTAATTGCCCTGGCCAGAACTTCCAACACTATGTTGAATAGGAGTGGTGAGAGAGGGCATCCCTGTCTTGTGCCAGTTTTCAAAGGGAATGCTTCCAGTTTTTGCCCATTCAGTATGATATTGGCTGTGGGTTTGTCATAAATAGCTCTTATTATTTTGAGATACATCCCATCAATACCTAATTTATTGAGAGTTTTTAGCATGAAGCGTTGTTGAATTTTGTCAAAGGCCTTTTCTGCATCTATTGAGATAATCATGTGGTTTCTGTCTTTGGTTCTGTTTATATGCTGGATTACATTTATTGATTTTCATATATTGAACCAGCCTTGCATCCCAGGGATGAAGCCCACTTAATCATGGTGGATAAGCTTTTTGAGGTGCTGCTGGATTCGGTTTGCCAGTATTTTATTGAGGATTTTTGCATCAATGTTCATCAAGGATATTGGTCTAAAATTCTCTTTTTTGGTTGTGTCTCTGCCCGGCTTTGGTATCAGGATGATGCTGGCCTCATAAAATGAGTTAGGGAGGATTCCCTCTTTTTCTATTGATTGGAATAGTTTCAGAAGGAATGGTACCGGTTCTTCCTTGTACCTCTGGTAGAATTCGGCTGTGAATCCATCTGGTCCTGGACTCTTTTTGGTTGGTAAGCTATTGATTATTGCCACAATTTCAGAGCCTGTTACTGGTCTATTCAGAGATTCAACTTCTTCCTGGTTTAGTCTTGGGAGGGTGTATGTGTCAAGGAATTTATCCATTTCTTCTAGATTTTCTAGTTTATTTGTGTAGAGGTGTTTGTAGTATTCTCTGTCGGTAGTTTGTATTTCTGTGGGATTGGTGGTGATATCCCCTTTATCATTTTTTATTTCGTCTATTTGATTCTTCTCTCTTTTCTTCTTTATTAGTCTTGCTAGTGGTCTATCAATTTTGTTGATCCTTTCAAAAAACCAGTTCCTGGATTCATTAATTTTTTGAAGGGTTTTTTGTGTCTCTATTTCCTTCAGTTCTGCTCTGATTTTAGTTATTTCTTGCCTTCTGCTAGCTTTTGAATGTGTTTGCTCTTGCTTTTCTGGTTCTTTTAATTGTGATGTTAGGGTGTCAATTTTGGATCTTTCCTGCTTTCTCTTGTGGGCATTTAGTGCTACAAATTTCCCTCTACACACTGCTTTGAGTGTGTCCCAGAGATTCTGGTATGTTGTGTCTTTGTTCTCGTTGGTTTCAAAGAACATCTTTATTTCTGCCTTCATTTCGTTATGTACCCAGTAGTCATTCAGGAGCAGCTTGTTTAGTTTCCATGTAGTTGAGCAGTTTTGAGTGAGATTCTTAATCCTGAGTTCTAGTTTGATTGCACTGTGGTCTGAGAGACAGTTTGTTATAATGTCTGATCTTTTACATTTGCTGAGGAGAGCTTTACTTCCAACTATGTGGTCAATTTTGGAATAGGTGTGGTATGGTGCTGAAGAAAATGTATATTCTGTTGATTTGGGGTGGAGAGTTCTGTAGATGTCTATTAGGTCCGCTCGGTGCAGAGCTGAGTTCAATTCCTGGGTATCCTTGTTAACTTTCTGTCTCGTTGATCTGTCTAATGTTGACAGTGGGGTGTTAAAGTCTCCCATTATTATTGTGTGGGAGTCTAAGTCTTTTTGTAGGTCCCTCAGGACTTGCTTTATGAATCTGGGTGCTCCTGTATTGGGTGCATATATATTTAGGATAGTTAGCTCTTCTTGTTGCATTGATCCCTTACCATTATGTAATGGCCTTCTTTGTCTCTTTTGATCTTTGTTGGTTTAAAGTCTGTTTTATCAGAGACTAGGATTGCAACCCCTGCCTTTTTTTGTTTTCCATTTGCTTGGTAGATCTTCCTCCATCCTTTTATTTTGAGCCTATGTGTGTCTCTGCATGTGAGATGGGTTTCCTGAATACAGCACACTGATGGGTCTTGACTCTTTATCCAATTTGCCAGTCTGTGTCTTTTAATTGGAGCATTTAGTCCATTTACATTTAAAGTTAATATTGAAAAAGGCAATCTCTTACTGCCAAGGTACTTCCTGACTTCAGAGACAAAGCATCAATGGAACCAATCCAGAAAAAGGATTCTAATTGTCCAGTCCTTCTTATTGTACAACCAAAAGATGGGCAGCTGTTGTTTATCTTTCTTCTTCAGTGCTCAGGGGTTAGCACTTTATATAAGAGATAATGGCAGTCCTGATCATCAACCCTATTGCGTTTTCACAAAACAGTAGAGAGCCTATCCTTTCCTGCCTTAAATCCTGGAATTTGTTTCTCTTCCTGTTAAGTATCCATTGTGGCATTTTGTTTTTTCCAGATAGGGTACCTTGATGTGCATTAAAAACCTGTTCAGGCAGATATCATTTCACCTCAGTGATTTTCTTAATGACATCTAGAAACTCATCTAATGACTCTTGGTTGGCAGAAGCTTATCTTGACATTTTTTTTAAAGGCAAATGTCTTTCTGAAATTATCAAACCATCCTTTCCTGGCATCAGAGTCTCCAGCTTTAGATAAAATAGGCTAGTGTCTACCTGTATTTCATTCATTCATGACATATCTAACTTTTTCTTACTTTTTTGATATTTCTAGGCTGTGCAATGAATCTGAATTTTTTAAAATTGTCACAAACCTACAAAATATTTTTCAATATAGCTATTGAAAAAACCCACACATAAGTGGACTCATCCAGTTCAAACTCATGTGGTTCAACGGTCAGCTGTACAGCATCATGAGTCTCCAAGCTACCCATGATAGCAATACTCAGAATAGCAAAAATCTAAAGTTTTTGAAATAACCATGGGGATTTGTTTGTGAAGCATTTTGCTAATCATGAGGTGACCACGTGTTCCTATTTGTTTCCTATCACCCTTGAAATTGTCCTGGGTTGCAGCTGTGTCACATGGTCACTTCCCTGATGCATGAGCTGTAGCCTTTATTTTACAGTATTGTTTAGTTGGTAAGTTGCATATTGTAGAGTTGGAAGTTATGTCATTCCATAGGCCCTCTTGGTGTGAGATTTTCATGACTCACCTCTCTGGGTCACACAGCAAGGCGCTTATTCCCTCTGTATTATAAATTACAGAAGCCCGCAGCTATTCAGTTGCATATTTCAGCACCCTTGAGGTAAACTTTGATGCTTCCATCTCTGGACTCTTTCCCAGAGATACCCACCCTGGATCCCTCTAATAGTTTATCCTATTGACAGAGTGGAGCTTTTTGAATTGTACATTGATCACGTTCTTCATTTATGGTACATTACATCATCATGGCCATTTTTCACTTCCTTCCTGTTACAGAATTACACAGCCACATCCTTGGCCCTGGAGCTTTGTAGGAACTTCCGCTAGAGTTAGCTCATTTACCGGCTCCATTGATGTTGATTTCCTCCATGTATCTTGCTGGGGTTCGTGTCACACTAGTGTGCCTCTGCATGTCGATTCACCATGCTTGTGTGGTTTGCTTGCCTTTTCCACTCTTATGAAATGCCGTGAGGAAAGCCTGCCTACCTCTCCACTCTGGACCCAAAATAAAAACACTAAAGCTGATTCGAAACCAACTGGTTCAGCCTAAGTCAGCTGAACTGCAACCAACCTGTAGGCATGTGAGCATGAAAATTAAGTTTTCAGTTTTAAGTCACTGAGATTTTGAGGTTGTCTTGCAACAAAATATTGACTAACCATTCCTTATTTCCCAGTCTCTTGCTTAAAATGTTCACTAATTTCTCCTTGCTTAAAAGGTTGTGGCTCACAGGACTGACATGGTTTGGTGCCAAACTCTCTCTTCTCTGCAGACACTGGCTTCCTTTCAGCTCCTTGTACTCTCTACCTTTCCTTCTACCACTTGCCTTCTGAATTTCTGCCACTGGATATTTACACATCTGTCCTCTCTACCTAGAACTTTGTCCCTTCTCATCTTTTCCCAATTAATTTTTCATCCTCCTCTTTTTAGTTTAAGAGTCAAGAATCTTAAGAACCTTTTCTTGGCCCACCTAAAAACAGTAAAGTATTTCTGTTGTTGGTGCTTGTGGTTGCAAGCACCCCTCCTCTGTACACTTGTTAGTGGTGCCACAGGCTGTATGACTATTGATTAGAGTAGATCATCCTCACTAGTCTGTAACTTGCTGAGGTCAGAGGTCTGGGTATTTTTTGTAACTCTTCTATCCCTAGTGCTGAGCACAGTGCAAGGTGTAGACAAAGAGCCCAATTAACGTTTGCTGAATGGATTGAATTGATGAGTTATGCTCCCTGGTAGGCATCCTGTCTCATTCATGACCGCACTCAACCTTAGCCTCATTGCCTATAGATAGGATTGAGAGTAGATTTGGCATTGGTGATTTTGAATGGTAATAAAGTTTTCCTACCAGCTGATTCAAAATGCTCAATTTACCATCACTTATCAAATTGTTATTAATTCCTGTAAGTATATTTTACCTTAAATGACCACGAATATGTAGAACCTTTGAAGCACTATGAAAATTAAAGATCTTAGATGCCGCATGTCTGTCTTTTAAAGCCCAGCTCTCCATTCTTTAGCAAGAAAAATTAGCAAGAGTTGTTTATCTCTCCTAGCCTCAGTTTCCAATGAAGCCCACTTCTCAAGGCCACTGGAAGTGTTTCATGGGAGAGAAAGCAAATGAAAGAACACATTGTGAACTGTGAAATGCTGTCTGGTGTAAGCTATCTGCAGTAGTCTAGGGTGTTCTGGTGAGATTACACCTTTCTCCCAATCTCAGTTAAACTTTCTGTTTAATTTGCATTTTTAAGATGATTGAATCTTACTTTTGATGCCAACCTTTATTTATTGATTGATTTATTTTAGAAGAACAAGTGGATTAAGAGAATTTTGGAGGGAATAGGAGCTTAGGGATGGAGAGCCAGTTGTGTTGCTGCTGCTCTGTCGCAGGAGCCCTGCTTATCACTGGGCCTTGGAGCGAGTTAGCCCAGCACAGAGAACTTATCTTTCTTTCTTTCTTTTTTTTTTTTTTTTTTTTTACATTTCCTGCTTCAGCTCCACGTGGAGAGAAGGTGCACCTAGGGTCTGTGTGATGTCTCCCATATCCCTGGCAAGGTGAGCTGCTCTCTGACTCACAGGATTCACTGATTAGTGCCACTGGGTGGCTGAGACTTGGCTACCAGCTTCCGTCTCCCCAGTCAGCTTTTAAAAAACTTTTCTTCTCCTCACTTGGATGGTCTCAATACCCAGGACAAAAGTTGCCACTGAACCTTTAATTACTGAAGGATATTTTCCTCTCTGACTGGGAAGAAAGCATAGACCTCCAAATTTAATCCTCTCTTTGGCAGCCGGTGCACAAGCTTCTCCATTAATTAATCTTTCATGTCATTAATTGGCTGTCTGTGTGATGACAGGGAAAGGAGGTAAACACTGTTTGAAAATCAATTGAATTCTCATCTGAACCAGCATTTAGTTTTCTGAGTAGATAAAAACAATTACAAGCCTTTCACTGGCTGGGCTTCCAGGGTCCAGCTGATAAGCTTATTGAACCAAAGTAATATTCAGGCAACAATCTCTGTTTGCAGATGTGCTAATTGGAGATTTTCTTCACCCTCACCATCAGTGTCCCCTTTGAAATTGGCTCATTGGTTTGATGTGGATCAGGGATGAGATCAGAAAGCCAATATCATAGGGCCACAGTTTTCTTCCCCGTACTCATTTATTTCTCTTCATATTGATTTTGCCACCATGGTCTATTTGAATCGGCATCTCTAAGAGGTGATGTCTGATCTTAAATATGATCCAGATATACTCTTCTTCTGAACTCCCATTCCAAGCAGACTGAAGGTGGAGCCATTTTGGGGCTACCTGTTGTGCCTACAATCACGGTAGGGACTTAGTGTGGTATACAGTAGTGGTTTGCAAAGTGGGGGTCCTGGGCCAGCCAGGTCAGCACTCCCTGGAAGCCTGTTAGAAATGCACACCCTTGGCTGGGCGTGGTGGCTCACGCCTGTAATCCCAGCACTTTGGGAGGCCAAGGCAGGCAGATCACGAGGTCAGGAGATCGAGGCCATCCTGGCTAACATGGTGAAATCCCGTCTCTACTAAAAATACAAAAAAAAATTAGCCAGGCGTGGTGGCGGGCGCCTGTAGTCCCAGCTACTTGGGAGGCTGAGGCAGGAGAATGGAGTGAACCCGGGAGGCGGAGCTTGCAGTGGGCAGAAATTGCGCCACTGCACTCCAACCTGGGTGACAGAGTGAGACTCTGTCTCAAAACAAACAAACAAACAAACAAAAATATGCACACCCTTAGGTTTTCCCCTAATTACTGAATCAGAGGTTCAGAAGTTGGGGCCCAGGATTTGCATTTTAAGAATCTTTCCAGGAGATTCTAAGATGGGCCCTTTGGGGACCACTCTTACAGAGCAAGGCTGTGTTCACTGAGGAGATCAGCTCAATGAGGAAAAGTGTAACAGATGACTTACTTTCATGGGGTGACTCCACTTGACTCCCCGATAAAATGTTGTGAGAACTAAATTACTTTTCCCTGGCCTCACATGCTTCCGGAACATTTGGCTTCAAGCAGCTTCTGAACTCTGACAGTAGAAATGGTTACCTTAATTTCTTCAATTTCTGATGTCATTCTTAGTTTAGTGAGGTAAATAATGAGGGCCAGGGAGCTAGTCTCTAAAGAAAGAGGACGTAGAGGGCGAGGCGAGTTGTTCCACGTGAGGGAAAGAATTCTCCCAGGTGGAAAATGGCACTGTGCTAAGGAAAGGGGAGGGAGTTAGGGTCAATCTTGGAAAATTGTAATATTCCCCAGCCTATGTGAAAGGTGCACAAAGAAGCCATGGCTGTTCTGCTGACTGACAGTGGAGAGCTGGAAGGTGAGCTACTGCCCTCTGAACGGGAGATGCAAACACCCGAGTCTTCCTCTGTCTGTGGGGACCACAGAAACTTGGCAAAGTCATTCTGGAAGGGAGCAGACAGAAAGTCTAGGAGAACTAACTGTTCTCTCAGATGAGGAAACCAAAACTCAGAGTTTACTTCAGTGTTGTTACAGTTCTCCCTAAAATCCTTCTCTAGGCTTGCTGAACCATGCTTACATCTGAGTCTTTGTGAATGTCTCAGGACCCAATGCCAATGTTGCATTTGCAGTCCTTAACCAGGTAGGACATAATGCTTTAGGCACCCAACAGGCAGGGGCAAGAGCCATGTAGCTCTCTGTTACAGGTTGATGATGGAGGAGTTTGGGCACAGGCAATAATTTCAGTATTTATCTATTTTGGGCAAATTGTTAGAGAGCTAAGGACTGCTGGGTTTTCCGGGACAGATTGTTGAATGGGATAAGTTAATAGCAAGTGAGAATAGGCATCTTTTAAAAAAAAATTATTTTAAGTTCCAGGGTACATGTGCAGGACATGCAGGTTTGTTACATAGGTAAGTGTGTACCATGGTGGTTTGCTGTACCTATCAACCCCTCACCTAGGTATTAAGCCCCACATGTATTAGCTATTATTCCTGATGCTTTCCCTCCCCCTTCCCCACACCCGACAGGCCCCAGTGTGTGTTGTTCCCCTCCCCGTGTCTGTGTGTTCTCATTGTTCAGCTCCCACTTACAAGCAAGAACAAGTGATGTTTGGTTTTCTCTTCCTGCATTAGTTTGCTGAGGATAATGGTTTCCAGCTTCATCCATGTTCCTGCAAAGGACATGATCTCGTCCCTCTTTATGGCTCTGTAATATTCCATGGTGTGTATGTACCACATTTTCTTTATTCAGTGTATCGTTGGTGGGCATTTGGGTTGATTCCATGTCTTTGCTCTTGTGAATAGTGCTGCAGTGAACATATGCGTGCATGTATCTGTATAATAGAATGATCTATGTTCCTTTGGGTATATACCCAGTAATGGGATTGCTGGCTCAAGTAGTATTTCTGGTTTGGGTCTTTGAGGAATCACCACACTGTCTTCCACAATAGTTGAACTAATTTGCAATCCCACCAACAGTGTAAAGGTGTTCCTGTCTCTCCACAGCCTCACCAGCATCTGTTGTTTCTTGACTTTTTAGTAATTGTCATTCTGCCTTCTTATATGCTGCTAAACTTAGAATCTTGAAATTCTTCTTATTATACTCCTCCTCTTTCTTCTCCTCCTTATCTTGATTTTCTCCCTCTTCTTTTTTCTCCTCCTCTTTCTTCTTTTTGTAATTGCAAAAGACTTTCTTGGATACAAATAGAGAAGAATAAGATCTCTATATAAACTCCTTCCCAGGAAATAAATTATTCTTGCCTTATGTTTACATAACTCATGAAAATTTTTGCATGAAAGCTCACTTAAATACAGGAGTCCTGTGGCAAATTATTTTCCTAAAGCTAAGAAAAAACCAAATTTATAAACATACATATATGTTACAGAGAGCGTTTGCTTTGTTTGCACAGTACATGTTAACTGAAATATGTAACTGTCAGAACCATGTCCTCAATTTGCATGGTCTCGTGGTACTCGATGGCAGCTCTGAAGCTGGGGTGATCTTTCAGACATAGGCCTTTGCGCCCCCACGTTGACTAGTTGCTGGGAAAGGCTATCTTTGAGACAGAGCATAATGTGACAAGAGCAAGATCTAGAGGGCTGAGAGCAACTCCTGGAGAAATCACAGGTGAGCTGTCAGCAGGACATAGACCTGGGCTGCTGGCAGTACAAAGACCCATGTCTGAAAGATCAAACAGAGCTTAGAGTTTAATGGGTCTCTGCTGCATCCTCAGGTAGAAGCATCCTTCCTCGGGGAACCAGGACTTTTAGGCCCAAGAGCATTTATTTGTGAATATGGAAGGGAAAAACTCCTCACGTATCTCCCTGGGAGTGATAAGTAAATTTGTTCCTTCTGTTTTTTAGTTCTCAGACTTACTCTGCCTATTGGAACACATAACCATGCAATGGATTTAGAGCGCGTACTAGGTCTTGGAGCGCAGTGCCCGTTTTTGTGGGTGTCATTTCCAAACCATTTGCTGGGCCTTCAAAAGGTTTTTCGATAGCTCTATTATGCCAGTGTTTTCTAGGTGGTGTGGTGTAAGATGCATAGGTACTATGACTATGGATCAACTGCCTTGCCTCCTTTGCTGTAAAATGGGGCTCTTGGTTTAATAAAACCTTGATGAAGATCCTGTATTTGTGGGCCAAATACTGAATTAGCCCTCCATATACTGATGCTGCTGAGACCCTGCAGTGTAGAAGGACAAACCCATACTCAGAATGTGTCACCTTCACTTAACATAAACTGCTGTCCCTTCTAGAATGAAAGAGGCCCAATGTCATCAGCTTGCTACCAAGTGGCTAGTTGGTCTCTTTGAGTAATGGTGCCATCTTGGGAGTTCAGCATCGGTCTCTGTAGCCAGCAGATTAAACATTCCCCAGTAACTGTAGCAAGAATAGCAGTAGTGAGTGGCAGCCCATGCTGGTGGACCCATGCAGAGTTTCCATTCCTGCCATTTTGACTGCTGTCTTCATTTAGCCATTGTGCCAGCACAGGGATAGTTGGTGGATGACTGAAGCTAGCTTATATCAACTGGCATCAAATCAACTGGCTTACATCAAATGGACAATTTTTGCCCATTTGGTTGTTTAGTGTCTTCCATGATGGAAGGTTTTTGCTGAGAATTAATCTGCAATACACAGATCTCACTCTGTGTCCAATCCCATAGGTTCATTCACATGTCAGTGGGTTCCCAACCAACTAGCCCAGGCATTTGCCACTGCCATATTCATACAAGCTTCCCCTAGCATTTAAGAAGAAAATGTAAATTGCAGGGTCTTACCCCTTTCCAATCAGTGTCCTGGATTTAGTTTAACAGGCTTTCCAGGGTTGGGTTTCAACCTTCTCTGGGGCGCCACTGCAATTATAATTGATTTGAGCCTGAACCTCAGCGTTTCCTTCCCTATGGCTATAGGAGATGAGCATCTCTTTATATGCTGCCAAGAGGGCCCTTAGGCTTCCATAATTTGTCATAAATTAGTAATTAAATTATTGTCAGCTTTTTCTTGTCTTACTCTGATGCATCAGGAGTCTCAGCAACAATTTTCAACTTAGTTGTCTTTATGTTTGCTATTTTTCCTGAAACCCTCAAATACCTGTGTTAATATGCCCACCGGTAATTCCTTTCCATCTGTGCTCTATTCCAATTTATCACCAGTGAAAGTTTTTGTGTTTTTTTTTTTTTTTCTTTTTCCGTGACAGAGTCTCGCTCTGTCGCCCAGGCTGGAGTGCAATGGTGCCATCTCGGCTCACTGCAACCTCCGCCTCCCAGGTTCAAGTGATTCTCCTGCCTCAGCCTCCTGAGTAGCTGGGATTACAGGCACCTGCCACCATGCCCAGCTAATTTTTGTATTTTTAGCAGAGACAGGGTTTCACCATGTCGGCCAGGCTGGTCTCAAACTCCTGACCTCAAGTGATCTGCCCACCTTGGCCTCCCAAAGTGCTGAGATTAAAGGTGTGAACCACCTTGCCCGGCCCCAGTGAAAGTTTTAACAATTATCCTGCCATAGCCTATAGGGGGCTACCAGTTCCACCCCAACTACCAGTATGTGATCCTCATTGTCAGCTGGCTGGCAAGCGATGCAACTCTAAAATCCCATTTTAGATTCTGCTTCCTAGGACTGATCTTGGCACCAATGCTATATTGGCTTCCCTGGGAAAAGGACTCTTCCCTAAGACTCTGAAATAAACATTTGTGTGTGGTTGAATTATGGGGCATCCTCCCAGCAATGTTACCTGTGAGGAAGTGAGGGAAGTAGGATTGAGTGAGGAGAGAGGTTGGAACTGCAATGCAGGTGCAACAGGTAGTACCCCAGAAGGAAAATCAGGGTCGCATCACCAGAAGAAAGTGGGATGATTGCTGGATGGCCAAAAGTAACAAGTGTCTAACACTTACATCTTCCCTAGGGAGTATTTTCTTTTCTCTTCTTGAGAAGCATATTTTCTGTACATGAGATATTATGAATATATATAAACTCTTCCATATATCCTAGTCCAGGCAACTCTTCCATAAATCTCATAAACTCTTAGGATGGTTCACATTTAACAACTACTATTATGTGTGTTTGTGGGTGTGTCTCTCTCTCTTTTTCTTCTTATTTACATATCGAGCCACCCTTTGGATTTCAATAGAAGTAAACCACTTTGCATTGGAATTTTTCTGTTTACTTGTTTTTGCTTATGGAGGAAGACTCTCTAAGTTAATTATGCTTGCTTTTCCAAGAGAATAATATGCTCTCGTCTGGGATAATTAGGCTGTCTAATTAACCTTAAAAAAAGGAAAACATAACTTTATAGTGGCTATATCCCCTTCGTTAAGTTAGTTTGGCTTGTCTTAACTGGCATAGTTAATATTGCTTATTTGCATATCATTTCCCATGGTATTCAGCACCATAACTTGTAATGAAAACACATTTTAGAGTACACTGGAGATTGACTTAATGGAATTGACTACATTACAAGGAGAGAATCTTCCAGTGGGCCACGGCTCTATCTTCATATTTACTGCAAGGCACTCAAAGGTACAACTTAAAGTGGGAAAAGCTTTTCGTGTAATCATTTTTTAATAATTAGCTTAGGAATAATTTGGAAGCTATCATTTGCAGCACGTTAATAATGTAAAGTAAGCTATTTCTGGAAATGTTAATGGAAAGCAAGCTCCTTGGAGATTGTGGGGAGTTAAAAGATCTGTAAGAATGGCTATTAATTATGGCCCAAAGCCCTCTTTCTGTTATTAGGGAACACAGTTATAAAGCAAGATAATGCTGTATTCAGTTTTCACAGCACCTCTCCCATTAGACACAGGGATATTCTCAGCTGGCATGAAATTTAGGCATTGGTAAAAGCAGGCATCTCTGCCTGTATCCCTGTTGTGACTGCCTCCAGTTTTCTATGACTTAATGAGGGGATATGCAACAAATACTTAGAATTAAATTAGCAAATATATCATATTCAAGCATTCCAGTATTGAAACAGCTAAAATAACTATATTTTTCAAGACCTGATTTTTTTTCTACTATATGAAAGAAGAACACACATTTCACAGTATCAGTGCAGAAATGCACACACCAGAATCCATGTTAACACTTTGGTGTCACCTGCCGACTTACGGCAGGACTGAGTGTTCTCAGCCTCAACCCTGCCCTCTTCTCAGCACTTCCCATCTCAACCCATCCAATCATTTTGAGAGCTACATTTGACATGCCTTGTAAATGTGCCCACTACATCCTGTCTTTTCTTTCCAGGGCATTTCCTATATATGTACATTTGTTCTAGAACAGCAGTTTCCAGGAAATGGATGGCTTTCTTTGCGTCTCGTTTTACCTGGAAGCAGGAGAGTGTATTCTGCTGGTGGCACAGTGTCTCCAGCCTTGTTTTTCTGTATCTTGGCTCTGACATCATCAGGATCACAGATAGTATATAACAGGGCATTTTTTTTTTTTTTGAGACAGAGTCTCGCTCTGTTGCCCAGGCTGGAGTGCAGTGGTGCGATCTTGGCTCACTGCAACCTCTGCCTCCCAGGTTCAAGCAATTCTCCTACCTCAGCCTTCTGAGTAGCTGGGACTACAGGGGCATGCCGCCACACCTGGCTAATTTTTTGTATTTTTAGTAGAGACAGGGTTTCACCATGTTAGCCACGATGGTCTCAATCTCCTGACCTCGTGATCCGCCCGCCTCGGCCTTCCAAAGTGCTGGGATTACAGGCGTGAGCCGCCGCGCCCGGCCTAACAGAGCTATTTTTATTTAGTGCTTCCTGTCCTAAGTCAGGCTTGCTTGTGTCAGAAAAATGCACCAAGCATTAGCTGGAGGTTTAACATTTTGCATGAAAAATACATTCTGGTTTAATAGAGAGCTTACAAGAAACTTACAGTTTTCCTTTTAGTTGTGAAGACAGAAAGGAGAAAGGGATTGACAACAGCTTTTGGACTATGTTGCTTACCTCCTCCTCCAACTATTTTTGTATGAAATTACTGTGAATCCTTCTTTCATGCATGTTTTGATCTGATATTGATCTGCTTCATGGGTATGCTTTTTTAAAGAACAGAGCTCCTTCAGAATCAACCCATATTTGTTCTTTCTTTCATCTGCTTAGTTGCACTGAAGATACACCA
Organism: Homo sapiens; assembly: GCF_000001405.40. Lineage (NCBI taxonomy): Eukaryota > Metazoa > Chordata > Mammalia > Primates > Hominidae > Homo > Homo sapiens. The sequence goes on from NC_000015.10 coordinate 93,642,220, forward strand.
AAAACTAATTAGAGTTTGTTATGTGAAAAAAGTTCTAACAAGCTTGCCAACAACGGCATTGTCTAGTCTTATTGCAGACATGTCAGTGGCTGTACATGTGTGAAATGAACTCGATTGGGCTGGATTCCTCCCTGTCTGCCTATTCTTATCTTTGGACTGCATTCCCCGTCATACAACACACTAAAAGCCACTATCAAGGGCTTACTGTAATACCTGTGACACTTTCAGTGTCCTTTTGATGGTTCTTCAAATGCTCTGTTAGCAGGGATCAGCAAATCAGATTTAATAGCCTATGAGATTTATCCCAAGCAAATGAAATTTGACTGAAAAAAATCCTCTTCTTGGCTCTGAAGAATGAATGTGTGGCTGTGGGACACAGATTTTGCTGGGAGAAAGGGGCCCTGCGGTATCGTACCCAGAGCAGTTACAGCACCCGCTGCAGGAGCACGCATCAGTGTACAGTCTATATTAGAACGAAGAGTGGCTTAGGAGAGAAATGAGAGGTGAAAAACTGAAAACGCCAGTCCATCAATTACCATCAAGAAAGGGCTAATTTCAGAGTCCTTTCAAACATTTTTTTTGGGTAGTTGTTGTTTTAAAACCAATAGGTATTACTCCTTGGTATTGTTTGACTAAAGTAAGAATAGGGGAAAAATACCAAAAAAAAAAATCAGTTGTTGAGATTGTAGATACATATTTACACATTCATCCATTCAGTACAGGTATATTTAACACCTGCTATTTCCAGGTGCTGAAGGTCTTATAGTAAGTAAGACAGACAGGTCTCTACTTTCATGGAGTTGAGTCCACTGAGGAAGAAAAACAATGAGGAACAAATATACAATATTGGTTCAACCAGTATTTATAAATTAAATAAATATAAATTTTAGCATCAACTAGGGTGCTCTAAGTTATCTTATTTATACGTTTATTTGTATGTTGGTTGAACATACAAAAAAAGGTTGGCTGAACATACAAGTAAATGCATAAGTAAAACAATTTAGAGCACCTAGTAGATGCTAAATAAATAATTGTGAACTAAATGCTATAAGAAATAAAACCTTGATGTGATAAAGAAATTTAAGAGTAGGGAACAGATGTCACTCTCCAGAGCAGGTGGCTGCTGCCAAGGTGTCTGTTACTCATGTGTGTTTGTGGAACACCAACCATAAAATGAAAATAAAAAGCTGGGAAAAAGCCGATATTGCTGAAGAGCCCTTGATTAGCTGTAATCTCTTTTCAAAGATTAAGAACTTTCCTCTAACAAATGTCTTCATTCTTTTCTCAAGAAAGACAAACAGTAAGAAATTTTATTAAACACAGTCATACACATCAGGTTCTGCACATGTAAGAAGACCCTGTCTTCTGGGAGTTGAATCAGTTACACAAAATCATAATTGCAAAATAACAAATGAGAGCTGTACACAGGAGATGCAAAAAGAATTGAACACTCTCAAAAATTATAAATGTAGAACTGGGGTATACGTGAACTGTTGTCACAACCAACTTGTCAGGAAGGAATTACAGCTACTGGTGTAATAGTATAAATGCATCGTGCTCATAATCACATGAATCCAGAAGCCTAATGCATCTTTCCTAAAATATCAGGGAACTTCTGTAGCTTCTGGCAGTCAACAGCATCATAATGTACAAATTCATTTCCTCAAGGCAATAACGAAAGAATGGTCCAAACTTGAGGATCCTGATATTTCTTCCTAAGAATAAGTTGATGTAGCTGATATCTGGGCCTCAAGGTGCAGGGTTGGCCTGAACATTTGGGGCAAGAAGATAGAGTCCCACAATCCATATGTCTGATTATCAACAAGTTATATATTACAGTAACAAATTTGACAAATATGCCATCATTTTGATGAAATATGTGCGCAGCTATGTTTTTATTTGACTCAAAGTTGACAAAATATCCAATACAACTAAACTTAATTATTGCATGTATGTAGGTGTTGTTTTGATGGGCTAGTGATGTTTGCATAAGCAATTGTTTAATTTTGCAAAAAGTTGCTCAGCCAACATGTACAGCTGTTGTGAACACTACATTAATTTGTAAAAGCTGCTGGAATAAAACATCAAGACCAAAAAGAAGCAAAAAATTGGACATGGCATTATTAGAAAATGACAACTCATATATATGCAAGAGCCCATTGCATTCATATCTGAGAAGACAGAAGAGACAAGTTAATTATTTTGTCTTTCCCTTTACCCAAGTGTTCCTGCCTGTCAATTCTTCTCCATACTCCAAAGCAGTGCATCTCCAGCTTCAGGAATGATGTAACCCAAAAAGTTTCACAGTGTTTATAAGCAGGTCCTTTTTGTCCAGGACATGGAATAAGAGATGTGAAAAAGCATTTTTCTTGAACCCAAATGGTGTAAGTCATTTGTGAGTGGATATTAGAGTTATGAGTTTGTCTGTGCAAATGCTGAGTGCCAGATCCAAGTGGCAAAGATAACTGTGTATTTTGTAACAAATATGGTTTTGGGTGTGTTTGTAACATGTGGATCCCTCTGAAGAACAGGCTATAGAGCAGAGGTCCCTCTTTCATGATTTAAGGGGCCTAAGGGGATACTGCCTGACTGGGCACTAGGCCAAGGCAGTCTTGTGCTATAGTTATTAAGAAAATTGAGAAATATCAGGGTCACTACAATTTGCTGTATGCTAAATATTCATATATAACCCAGTTATTGAGTAATATATTTTGACAAGTGTTCAATTCTCTTTGAATCATTCTGTATAAGGAAGGATCCAGTCCAGAGGAGGCAATGATGATGTGTCTGTGGGAAGGTAGGGAGCTTTCCTAGAGGGCATGACCCTTGGAGTGGCTTTTTGAAGGAGTAGAAGTTAGCCAGGTGGGACAAGTTCAGAAGGGCTTTCTTGGCAAAAGAAAAAAAAGAACATACAAGGCACTGAGGTATGCTGATATTGTATGTCCAAGCAACTGCAGGTAGTTTGGTATGGTTGGGTATAGGAGAAGGGGCTGGGAGAGAAAGATGAAGGCTAACTTTATTGTCCAAGTGAAAGAAGATGAATCCTGAACGAAATGAGAGGCCAGGGAAATGCAGCAGAGGGGACGGAGTGAAAGGTGTTAGATGTAAGAGGCTCTGGGATTCTGGCTGGAAAAGTCTGTTCTGTAGTGTAATGTGCTGTGGCCTTTGGTGAAGGCAGTATGGGTTTAGCAAGATTGAGGTTAACAGATGTTTCGGTGAATCCAAGTGTGACCTTGCCTTAAGCCCTTGCCAGTAAGGTCCAGTACAACTCAGCACCTTAATCAGGAGGATGTACAGTTCATTCATGGCACAGACGCAAGGCATGAATGGAATTTTTCAAAGGCAGCAGAACCTCCTACTAGGCCGCCTTCATGTGCTCATTCTGGAATGAAAAATTAATAACCTCCTGGAATCATTCATTATAAGATTTGAGTAAAGAAAAGATAATTAAATCTTCAAGTGATGGCCTTGCTGATTCCTCTGGTGCGGCATAATTAAGATCAGCTGGTCAAGGGCGTAGGAAGGGCTCCCATCTCCCCAGAGGGGAAGCTCCATTCCGCCTCCGCCACCTGAGTGCTCAGCTTAGGATGGCTTTCGGGAGACCTGGAGGGAATTATCAGACCCAAAGTGCTGCCAGTGGGGGTGCTTTTAACCACAGTGCTGCTCCAGTGCCCTGCAGCCTGGGTTCCCAGCAGCACCGAGGGCCTTAGCTTCCCTTTAGGGCTTTGAGTAACTCACTCTCTTTTCATATCTCATTTACTATGTCATATTTGAATGATTTTCTATACCTTTTTCAAATCTAAAGTATAATCAAGGCAAGTTGAGAACTGCATAAACCACAGTGGCTATGACTGAATACAAAAAGAATAGAAAGAAAGAAAAGGAAATAGTAGAATGTCAAAAGAGGAACTATTGGAAAGACTTACCCATCAAATCTTGATATTCTTCTTCTAGATTCTTTCCTATCTGTGCCAAGGATTTTTGTGAAGACTTTAACAACCTTTCTTTTATTCCATAAATCCCAATGAAATGGTTCATTCTGAGAAGTGGGGTGGCCCTTTGTGTGTTGTGTTTGCCAGCTGCTTTTACTGCTCTCGTTGAGCAATTCATAGGGATAGTGGAGGGAGAGAGCACCTCCTTCCTCGTTTCCCAGAAACTCCCTCTCTTATCTCCCCACAGACAGATTTGCTGAAAACCCTCTGACTCCTTTCACTTTTTCAGTCAATCCCCTTAGGGCTGGGTGCATGTTGTAAAACACTCTCCCTACCCCAGAGAAGTGTGGGGCTTAGAAGAAAAATATGTATTCTTTCTAGGGCAGCCCTAACAGAGTACCACAGCCTGAGTGGCTTCAACAACAGATTTATTTTCTCACATTTCTGGGGACTGGAATTCCAAGACGAAAGGGTCAGTACCGGACGGGTGCGGTGGCTCACACCTGTAATCCCAACACTTTGAGAGGCCGAGGCGGGCAGATCACCTGAGGTCAGGCGTTTGAGACCAGCCTGGCCTACATGGTGAAACCTTCTCTCTACCCAAAATACAAAAATTAGCTGGGCATGGCGGCATGCACCTGTAATCCCAGCTACTCATGAGGCTGAGGCAGGAAAATTGCTTGAACCTGGGAAACGGAGGTTGCAGCGAGCTAAGATCACGCCAGTGCACTCCAGCCTGGGCGACAGAATGAGACTTCGTGTCAAAAAAATAAATAAAAAGGAAAGAAAAGAAAAGAAAGTTTGAAAGGGACAGTGCAGTGGATTTCTTCTGAGACCTCTCTCCTTGGCTTGTAGATGGCTCCTTCTCCCTATGTCTTTACATAGTCTTCCCTTGGTATCCATCTGTGTCCTCATCACCCCTCCTTATAAGGATACTAGTCATATTGGATGAGGGCCCAACCTAATGATTTCATTTTAACTTAATTACCTTTTTAGAGATTCTATCTCAAAATATAGTCACATCCTGAGGCACTAGGGGTTAGGACTTCAACAAACGAATTTTGGAAGAGACACAGTTCATCCTCAAACAATACCTATTGGTCTTCTTCTTTTCTCCCTCTCTCTCAAGTCTGTGTTGATATAAGGAGTTGGGCTTGGTCCTTTGGGATAATTCCACAGCCCTCACTTTATCCTTGAGACACAACTATCACTGTGTTTCTCCCCATACCAGCTCAACTCTCTCCCTACAACTGAGCTTTTATCTCATGGTCTTGTCTGGGGGCAAGTTTCTTCTTTTGAGGCCCCAGTTATTTTGGGGGGCTTTCTGGTGGCCAATTAATGCTCACTATTACCTTTCTGGGGCTTATTCCTATGTTCTCAGCCTCTTTTACCTCCCATGGCCAAGTCATCCGAATAGCAGCCACCAGTCAATACTCCCATGTTGGAAGCCTTGGCTTCCTCGGTGTCCTGCTAAGCCCACACACTCTTGGCTGGACCAGGGCTGGGTTCCAGATCTAGCAATCTTCTTCAGGGCTCGCTGTCTGTGGAGGAACAAATTTCCTCTACTGCCAGCCACTTCCCATGCCTCAGGGAGTCGATACTGGTTTGTCCTTTGGCTTCCAGGATCCTAGTTCTAAAGTATAAGCCAAGAAATCAGAAAGTTGTCAGGGGAGTTTGGATCAAAAACGGTTTGCTTTTAAATATAAACTTACCTTCTGTTCTCTGCTTCATTTTACCCTCTCCACTATTTTTTACTAAAGAAGCAAAGACAGGCTGCATGCAGTGGCTCACACCTGTAATCCCAGCACTTTGGATTGCTTGAGCCCCAAAGTTTGAGGCTGCAGTGAGCCGAGATCGCGCCACTGCACTCCAGCCTGGGCGACAGAGTGAGACTCTATCTCAATAATAATAAAAATAATAAGCCAGGCTTGGGTGGCACAGGCCTATATGTAGTCCCAGCTACAAGGGAGGCTGAAGTGGGAGCATCACTTGAGGCCAGAAGCTCGAGGCTACAGTGAGCTGAGATGGCTCCAGTGCACTCTAGCGTGGGTGACAGAGTGAGACCCTGTCTCAGAAACAAACAAAAAAACAAAGCAGGCAAACTGTCACATGCATTTCCTTGTTGGTGAATAACAATGTGGGGATGGCACTCTGCCTGTGTGGGTCCAGTATCTTAGAACTATCTGGCAACTTGAAGAATAGAAAATAACAGTAAGGGTAGGGCATAGTAGGGCACGTCTGTAATCCCAGCACTTTGGGAGGCCGAGGCGGGCGGATCACGAGGTCAGGAGATTGAGACCATCCTGGCTGACATGGTGAAACCCCATCTCTACTAAAAACACAAAAATCATCTGGGTGTGGTGGCGTGTGCCTGTAGTCCCAGCTACTCAGGAGACTGAGGCAGGAGAATCACTTGAACCTGGGAGGCGGAGGTTGCAGTGAGCTGAGATCGTGCTGTTGCACTCCAGCTTGGACGACAGAGAGAGACTCCATCTCAAAAAATAAATAAAAGTACAGTAAGAAGACCTGGCTGGGCACGGTGGCTCTTGCCTGTAATCCCAGCACTTTGGGAAGCTGAGGCAGCTGATCACGGGGTCAGGAGTTCAAGACCAGCCTGACCAACATGGTGAAACCCTGTCTCACTAAAAATACAAAAATTAGCTGGGCCTGGTGGCAGGCACCTGTGATCCCAGCTACTTGGGAGGCTGAGGCAGGAGAATCACTTGAACCCGGGAGGCGGAGGTTGCAGTGAGCCAAGATCATGCCACTGTATCCCAGCTTGGGCGACAGAGTGAGACTCTGTCTCAAAAAAAAAAAAAAAAAATGACCTGTGTCCCAGCCCCAGCTTTGCCCCTTACTGGTTACGTGACTTGGGATAGTTCACTTTGCCTTGATGATCCTATACCTCCTCACCTGTAAAATAGAATCAATAATGCTTGCCTCTTCTCAGTTGTTTTGAGTCCCTGAAAATCTTTTCTAACCGTAAGTACTAATGGACTAATAAAACTCTATGTTTTTAAAATATATATTTACAATAGAACCAACTGTCACAATATAGTATGGGAAGAGGGGAAGGGCTGAAAAGGAAACACTGAATTATTATCTTAAGAAATTCTTACCTTTGCAAGAAACAAGCTTTAGAAATTACAAGGGCAGACAGATTGAATCAGGAGTCCCTACAAAAGCAATCAAGATCAAATGAACTGTAATTATGGTAATCAGTTCGTGAACTTTAATGCCATATTCCTAATTTCAAACATTATGAAGTCCTGTATAGTGAATCAATCTGTCATTGCAAAGATAATAAAATTTTCTTGTCTGATGGGATGTATTCTGTTTGACTGAAAATTTGTCATTCTTTTTCATCAGCAGCCTCTTTAGGGTCACCATTTTAAAATTTTAATTAAAGCGAATGAATCCTGTGAATACTAATACATATGTTTTAAAATAATAGATTAATATAACAAGTTATGCTTCTGTAACTTCCCTTGGAATTTCTCCACGAAGGCTACTTTCTCCGAGAAGCCCTCCTTACCCCCATGTTAAATCAGGTTTTCTGGTTCTGGAGACCCATGGTGAGCTGGAGCTTTTGCGCTGCAACATGTCTCAATCTATGTTTGATTTTGTGGCTGTTTACTGTTTGTGTCCTATAGCTTAGCCTGGAAGTCTCAGGAGGGCAGAGAGCATGACTGTGTCATCCACACGGTCTACTATATGGCACTTATAGTTAAATCCACACTCCTCCCCGGGGCCTCTGAGGCGCCATGTAAATTGGCCCATCCTTTCCATCCTATCCCTCTTTCTGTGCCTCAATCCCTGGCATATTTTCACTTCTGGCCCTTTCTACTTGATGTTTTCTCCGCTGGGAACTCTTCCTCCAGATTTTGACTGGCTGTTGTCCATGCAAAATGTCATCCAAATGTCGCTGCCTTAGCAAGGCTTTCTGTGATCTAACATACTGGAATTAGAATTCCCCTTCCCAGACACTCTTAATCTCATTTCTCTCTTGTATTTTCTTTAGTGTACTTGTCACTGTATGAATTATCTTTCTTATGTATATATCTATGTTATTACATGTGTGTATATTTGTAAATTTGTTACTTGTGCTCCCTCTAAGATCTAAGATCTCTGAGTTTAGAACTCTATCTTATTTGGCTTGTTTACTTCTGTATCATCAAAGACTAAAATGCAGCCAATAAATACCTGTTATATGAATAAATAAATGGTCAGCAAATGTTCAAAGGTGTATACATTGGATAAACGAAACAATCAACTTTATTGTAACATTATTTAATATATATTTTAACTTATGATCCTTGTTTTGGCATCGCATAAAAACAGGGTTCTTGTAATTTCCTAACTGAAGTTTGTCTTCAGAAGTTCTGTCCTTGGGAAGGGTCTACACTAAGCCATTGTTCTAGGATGTTCCTCACATGGCTTATTTGTGTGGCAAAACAAAGATTAACATCAATGCCTTTGGAGCCACGCAATGGTCCCAAATAGATTCATTGCAGTTGTGGGTTTCATGTTGACCCCCTGAGCCATGCCCTCTACATTCCTCTTTTCTTAGGACATCTGGGGCCCCTTGGTCCTCAGCTGAAGACATGGTCCTGCCTAGACTCTGAGATAAATCCTTTCTTTGAGGAGTAGAGGCATAAAGAGCTCTAATCCATCACTCTGGACCCCGGAACTAAGTCAAGCTTTCCATTTGGATTTTCTTGACATTGAGGTCCAGTGTGGTCTTGGCTTCTTCAAAGATTTCATTGCTTTGCTGTGTTCACATAATTCACCACTGCACTCCATAGAAACTTCCTGAAGTTAGTGCTTTCTAGGAGCATCTCTTGATTTCTTCTGTAGTGTCTGCATGTCTTACTTGTTCCACAGTTGCCCGTATTTACTTCCATCACAGCACTTCCACAGCAAATTCCATTTTATTCCCAGGTATTTAAAATTTCCTTTGTTTTGGCATTATTTCAATACCAGTAATCATATTTAAACATATTACCCCTCTAACAAATCTGGCTAAAAATGTTTAATATGACTTAAATTTCTGTATTTATTTTATATACAGGTAGGGAGTATCATGCATTGGATTCAATATTCTGAGGGTTTTTTTTGTTTGTTTATTTCTTTAGTAACAGCTTTATTGAGATACAGTTTTGTGTAGTAAGGAATTTGGCCTCACCTAAAGGAAGGTCTGAATTTTGTCCTGGGTCCTGGGAGGTACTGTCTAAAACTGGAGTGATAAGTCTATTCGTGGTGGGTCTGATGGTTTATGCTAAGGTGAAGTGTGACTCAGGGTGAAGTGTGGTCATGCCAGAAAGTCCAACCAAGTGATGAGAGGGTCAAGGATCTGAACTGTGCGATATTAACCCCATCTCTGGAAGGGAAGCAGAGCTGGAGATTGAGTTCAACCATATGAAAAATGATTCAATCGATTATGCTGACATAATAAAGCTCCAATAAAAATTCTGGACACCTAATCTTGGGTGAACTTCTCAGGCTGGCAGTACAACATGTGTGTGGTAACACATCGAAGGTAGGAAGGTAACACATTTCTGAGGACAATGAAAGCACCACCTTTAGAAGTCTCCCAGATATCACCCTGCTTCTTCTCTTCCTTTGGCTGGTTCTAATTTGTATTCATTTATTATAATAAAACAATAAGTATAATGCTTTCTTCAGTTCTGTGAGTCATTCTAGTGAATTATCAAACCTGAGGATAATCACAGGAAACCCCCTAATTTGTAGCCAGCTGCTCTGTGAGGGCAGCCTTGGGGACCCCCAAATTTGTGGCGGCGTCTGAAGTGAGAACAATCTTTGGGGGACTATTTCCTTAGACTGTGTAGTTTGTCTAAATTCCTTTGCATATTTATATACCACAAAGTTCACCTTTTAAAAGTATTATTTGGCGATTTTTAGTATATGTACAAAGTTGTGTGTGAATTACTACTATTTAATTTCAGAACTTTTTAATCACCCCCGAGAGGATCTATGTACCCCCTCCCCATTCCCTCTTCCCTCTCACCTGCAGCCCCTGGCAACCACTAATACATTTTCTGTCTCTATGAAATTGCCTATTCTGGACATTTTATATAAATGGAATCAAACAATATGGGGTTCTTTGTGCCTGGCTTCTTTCACATAGCATAACGCTTCCAAGGTTCATCCATGTGCTGTCATGGATCAGAACTTCATTCCTTTTTGTGACTGAATAATATTCCATTGTGTGGATATATACTATTTTGTTTATCTGTTGATCAGCTGATAAACATTTAGACTGTTTCCACAATCAGCTATTATGAATAGTGCTACTATGAACATTCATGCATACGTTTTTGAGTGGACATATGTTTTTAATTCTCTTGGATATATACTGAGTAGTGGATCATAAGTGGTAATTCTATGTTTAACCTTTTGAGGAGTCAGCAAACTGCTTACTAAAGTGGCTTCCTTATTTTCCGTCCCCACCGGCAATGTATGAGGGTTCCAATTTCTCCACAGTTCCGCCAACACTTGTTATTATCTGCCTTTTTTAGTCCAGCCCTCCCAGTGAGTGAACTGGTATCTCATGGTCATTTTAATTTGCATTTCCTTAATGACAAATGATGTTAAGCATCTTTTCGTGTGTTTATTTTCCATGTGTATATCTTCTTTGGAATACTCACTCTGCAGCTCCTTTGTCCATAATTGTGAAGGTGAATTTCTGGATCATCAATTCTGTTCTATTCACCTGCGTATCTACTTCTTGCTAACACCATGCTGGCTTGATTATTATAGCTTTATAGTAAATTTTGAAATAGCAAAGGATGAGTTGTTCAGCTTTGTTTATCTTTTTCTAGATTGTTTTGGCTGTTTTTCATTTCTTGAATTCCCAAATGAATTTTAGGATCAGCTTGTCAATTTCTGAAAAAAAGTAATCTGTTATAGGGATTATGTTGAATCAGCAGATCAATTTGATGATTATTGCCATCTTAACAATATTAAGTTGTCTGATTCATGAACAAGAAAGTTCTCTTCATGTACATATATCTTTAGTTTTTTTCTTCAAAATGTTTTTTATTTTCCAGATTACAAGTCTTATACTTTTTTGCTTAAATTTATTCCTAAGTATTTTCTTGTTTTTGATATTGTAAATAATTTTTAAAATTTTATTTTTATTTATTTTAGTGTGTAGAAATATAACTGATTTTTGTATTTTGCTCTTGTACCTACAGCGAATTTTAATGATATATTTTATTGTTTGGAAAGCCCATATAGGCACTAAGCCCCTTGAAGCAGAGACTATTTTGTTTGTGACATACATTTAGAACATAGATCAGTGACAAGGATGCAGTTAGTGAAAAATTATACATATTAAATGAATAAGCATTTATCGAATCTTTTACATCTTTAAGGCACCCTATGAGAGGCTGTGGGGAATCAAAGGGATATAAATGCATAGCTTAAAGCTTGTAAATTATATTTTGCTTAGTAAGAACACTGAATAAAATTATGATGACCACTTGTCTCCTTTTTATGACACATTATTCATAATGTCATACTACTTCTGTCCGACTGCATTTGCTATGCCTCTCCTGAGGCATCTAATAATTTTATGTACTCAGGTTTTCTGGTCCTAGGTGTGCACTAATTAAAACACTATTGTCTTGATTTGCTGCCACTCTTAGTATCATTTGCATTTTTAAATAGAAAGAGTTATAAAGGGTAATGCTTAACCCAAAAGGTTGAGAATAGGAGTAGACTGCTATATTAGTCCATTTTGCATTGATATAAAGGAATATGAGACTGGGTAATTGATCAAGAAAAGAGGGATAGTGTGAAAAGAGGGAAGTGTGACGCCAGCATCTACTTCTAGTTTGAGGCTCAGGAAACTTCCAACATGGCAGAAAGCAAAAGAGAACAGGTATCGCCTGGTGAGAGAGGGTGCAAGAGAGAGTGGGGAAGGGTCATGCTCTTTTAAATGACCAGCTCTCGTGTGAACTAACCAAGTGGGAACTCACTCATTACTGAGGGAAAGACACCAAGCCACTCATGAGAGATCTGCTGCTGTGTGACCCAAACACCTACCATTAGGCTCTACCTCCAACATTGTGGATCACATTTCAACATGAGGTTTGGAAGGCACACATATCCAAACTATATCAACTGCTAAGATCCCTTTAACTCTAACCTTCCAAGAATATTAAAAGACTGGAACATCAGATATGGTTGCACTTCAGTCCAGAATGCATTTTTTTCAGGGGGGCTATATCTATCACTTTTGGAATCATGCAGTGTAATAAACCATCTGCTTTATCTGTAAACCTGACTATTGACTGTACTTGTCCTTGGTATACCTGTCATTCTGCAACCTTCCCAGGGCCAACACAGTGGGGATTATGTTGGCCTGTCCTGAGCATCATATTGAAAACCTCTCAGTAACAGCAGAAAATGTGTCTCTATAAACATAGTGCATTTTCTTTAATGCTTGTAGAAGATGTATGTGTGACAGATGCTTCTCATCAAACATTTAATTAATTTGTTGTATTTAGATATCTTAATACCTTTCAGTAAAAATGAATTAGTATTTGAAGAAAAAACTTGGACGGTAAAGCCAGTTTCATCAAATTTTTTTAAAATAAGAGGCAGATCATTGGCTTGATGAGATCTTTCATACATTCTAGAATTATTGGGCCTAATTTTCAATTTTCCCTTTCTAGTCGGAGTACCAAATCTTTAAGCCAAATGTGACATAATTTGCCATAGAAAATAAAGTCACTGCATTAACTCAAATCAGACAGCATTTTATTTCATGGTGACCGCAGGGGTGTCCTTGAGAACTTATCAGTGTCAGCACCCTCTGAACATTATATTGGCAAAAGTCTTTGTATCATAAGTGAGGAGATATAGTCATGTGAATGAATATGTGTTGAAGGAGGAGTGATATGGTTTGGCCCAAATCTCATCTTGAATTTTAGCTTTCATAATTCCCACATGTCATGGGAGGGGCCTGGTGGGAGGTAATTGAATCATGGGGGCAGGTCATTCCCATGCTGTTCTCGTGATAGTGAGTAAGTCTCACAAGATCTGATGTTTTATAAAGGGCAGTTCCCCTGCACATGCTCTCTTGGCTGCTGCCATGTAAATAAGATGTGCCTTTGCTTCTCCTTTGCCTTCTGCCATGATTGTGAGGCCTCCCCACCCGTGTGGAACTGTGAGTCAATTAAATGTCTTTGCTTTATAAATTACCCAATCTCAGGTATGTCTTTATTAGCAGTGTGAGAACAGACTAATACAAGGGGGCAATATTCAAAACTATAATCAAGGTTTTCTGGAAGTCATCTCACAGAGGCAGTATGGAGTGGATACAAATGCAATTTAGCCATCCGAAATCTCATTACTTGTGCGTATTCTGTTTGGAGAAAACCTGTGGAAATAGATGGTTTCAGTCATGAAAGCACAAAGTAAGAAGAGTACTAGGTCATGGGCAGTATTATATGTCTACACCTAATAGTTAGCTGAGCTCAGTCAAGCGACGTAATCAGCATGTTCTCCTTGACTAAATTATTTCCACAGAATGTGGAAGTTTCTCAAGTATCATTAATGAATTTTTGGAATTCTAGAATCCTGTTTAAATATGACTTTGTTCCTGAGAGATGAAGCCACTCTCAGTGTTCCAACAAGTTCTACATGATAGCTAGATTTGGGACTGTGGTGAGTTCACCTTGCATGTTCTGTCTGAGCCACTGTCTGGCTTGCATTAGGTGATATTTGATCTGATTTTATTCACCTGTGATCTATGTCAAAGCACAGGACACTGCTAGAAAAAAATTGAGTGGCCAGGCAAGTTTGTCTTCTATACTTCTAACATATAAGTTCTATGACAATTCCTCATCCCCAGGCTCTTTTCCTCACCTGAAAATGCATTTCTGCCAGTTTGCAAAATCTTCCTTGGGAAAAGATGCTTAAGTGGCTTTGTCAAGGTGTAAATGACTGATATTTTACAATATCATTTTGCCATGTTCACATTGTTATACTATGGCCTAGAATGAATAACACTGGAAGTTTCGACATCAACAAGCTATGCACATTGTAGTAGACACTTCGGGTGTGCACTCTTGTTTACTCTGACTCATCTTCTGAAGCATGGGAGAGTGACATTTCTCTGTCCCCTTTGCAGTTGGAGTTTTGTGACAAGTTCTGACAATGGCCTGAGTAAAAATGATATCTGTACCTTCTGAGACAAAATATTTTGTGCTAAAGCAAAATCCTCCAGAACTCCCTTCCTCTTCAGGGGCAACAGAGTAAGTTTCATTTTCATTTATCTCATCAAAATGGCCGTCTCTCCAACATCCTAGTTCCCTGAGAGATTTCCTGGAGCAGAGCACCTCACTGAGATTGTATATGTACCATTTTGTACGATTTTTTATATGGACCATGACTAAGAAATTCATCTTTCTTGTATTATTTACTGCTGAGAATTCAGAGTTTGTTACCACAATATAATTTGGACCAGTGCCATCTAATAAAAATATAATGTGAATCATTTAAGTAATTATAAATTGTCTAGTAGCCACATTACAAAAGTGAAGAGAACCAGGTGACATTAATTTTAATATTTAATGTCACATATCCAAAATATTATCATTTAAACACGTAATTAATATAATCACTAATGAGATATCTTAAGTTCTTTTTCATTATACTAAGTCTTTGAAGCCAGATGTGTATTTCATCCTTACACCTCATCTCATTTTGCATCAGACACATTTCCAGGGCTCGCTCACACTCTACAGGTGACTATTTGGGTGGTGCTGTATTGGACAATGCAGGTCCACACCATCCTGACTAAATGTATAAATTATATAAGTTTACAAATAAATTATGAACCAGGGATTATTTAATAATAGGATTATTTAATTAAATAATAATTAAATAATTAAATAATAATTAAATATTTAAGTAAATAATTAAATAATCAGGGATTACTTAATAATAATCCAGGATTATTTTTATAAAAATTAAGGATGCATTCTTTTCTTTTTTCTTTTTTTTTTTTTTGAGATGGAGTCTCGCTCTGTTGCCCAGGCTGGAGTGCAGTGGTGTGATCTTGGCTCACTGCAAGCTACGTCTCCTGGGTACACGCCATTCTCCTGCCTCAGCCTCCCGAGTAGCTGGGACTACAGGCGCCCGCCACCGCGCCCGGCTAATTTTTTGTATTTTTAGTAGAGACGGGGTTTCACCGTGTTAGCCAGGATGGTCTCCATCTCCTGACCTTGTGATCCGCCCGCCTCGGCCTCCCAAAGTGCTGGGATTACAGGCCTGAGCCACTGCACCCGGCCGGATGCGTTCTTTCGTTATTATTATTAATCTCTGGATATTTCTCTTTGCTTTGTATTTCTTCCCACCTATTTAGGAGCTGTAAGGCTGCCTTTGCTGTGTTAATCACAAACTACAGCTTTTCTGAAGGCGTCTGGAATGACATCACACGCTGATGTGAATATAGAGAGAGAACATTTTGTTGGGTGCACGGGGCAGCCTCAGGATCAGATAGTTTTACACACTGCTGTGTTAGGCTGTTTACCCTGCAGGGAAGGCAGCCAGGTAATAACATCCAATTCATATAGGCACCTCCTACGATAGTGACTCTTCATCCCTTCTCTTCTCTGGAGGTTAAGAGAGAAAACAGAAAAAGACTCAAATTCTTGAAACATTACTTTCAATTTAGTTCAATATGTATGTGTGTTAGTTCAGATTCCCCTAAAAACAGACCCTGAGACATAATTTAGGTACGAATAATTTATTGGGGCTGTGGAGAGCGTGGGGAGTGATACAGGGAAGAAAAGGCAGAAAATAGAGTGTGCTCTGTAAAGTTAGCTGCCACTGTGGGCTTCTGGTAGTTGATCCTGAAAGGAGAGTATAGAACATGGTGTTGAACCCAAGACTTGGACTTGAAATGAACCCAGCTGAGGGCAAGAGGACTGGGGAATTTATACTCCAACTCTTGAGAGTCATTCGTTGGTTGTGGGCTGCTCCTATAAGGTGTCAGTTCCCTGACACTCCTGGCCAACAGCACACGCAGCCACAGAGATGTCAGCACTCAGATTTGGAACTCCTCCAGACGCGCGAAGCAATATGTTTGATGGATACAGGTGAGGCTCTCTGATAGGACTTTCTTTCAATATTGGGTGTAATCAGAATCATAGAATTATAGATTCACATTTGACTGACCTCCAAAGGAAGAGTTTCAGACAAGAGATTTAATGCAATGTCACAAATTTAGGCTGTAAGGGGGGCATAGTTTTGAGTGTAACTGCTATTTTGCGATGAGGAAACAGGAGCTTTATGGATAAACATGGCCCGAGGTCATAACACTTGAGAAAAAGAAAGGCAGGAGGCATCATTGCACATAGGCAATGATTTTGCAGCTACACAGACATGAAGAGGAGCTGTCAGCTGCTTCTGGGCGTCATGGTGGATTGGCTTCTTAATGGATATAGCCCCTGTGCTCTACAGAGGCTCCTCAGAGATGATTGAACTCCAGAGACTGACTCACACTATGCACAGAACATCTACTTGGCTGGAGAGCCAGCCTGCTAATTTGCAAAGGACATTTCCTCCTTGATGAAGTTTACAGCATCATTCTAGTCATTTTTTTTTTCCCTAAAAGGACTCCATAATTAGATTAGTGTTAACACCTTGACTTTATAGATGGAGGCCTGGGAAACACCCTAGTCCTACACTGGCACATCTGAAAACTATCCTTCTGGTGGGGGCTACTTCTTTGTCAAAACTCATTCATTTTATATTTAAGACTTGAGTATTGAAAGCATGATAATTAATCTCTTTGTTCCTAAATTCTAAAGATATATCCTGTTTGGAATTGTAGCTCCCTATGTAAGGTATATGAATATCTTTATGTTGTCAGTCCAATGGAAAAGCAAATCAGTGTTTTTCTGTATATGTGTCAGATCCAGAGAAATAAATAGAATTCTGTTATCATTTATTTAGTACCTGCCATTTGTAAGTTTCACACAAAAGGAAGACGGTGGAGGTAAAACAAAAATGAATAAGGAAAGACTCTTGTAACTCAAACTTCAGAAGATCTTAAAGTCATTCATTCAAAAATATGTATTGTGAGTATTGTGTGTCAGATATGAGGCTAGGTGCTGGGGATATCATGATGAACAAGATAGACATGAGCCCTGAGCTGGTGGGGAACAGAGATATGTATAATATAAATTACAGTACAGTATAGTACCTGAGGTAACAGGGCAGCTAGATATGCCCTGGAGCTCAGAGGTTTTCTCTCTTTGCTTTTAACCACCCCGTGGCCAGATTGGATGGGGATTTTAGTGTTATCACCCTGCAGAAAACAAGAGAAATATCCTTCAGTATTTATAGAATGGTGCTTTAGCATGTGGCTGAGAGCTACAATTTAAAAGCCCAAGATTGCAAATCAGTTCTTGCATTAGCACTGGATTCTATTTACTCAGATGCCCAGAAACATCCCATGAGGCCAGTTCTCTAGAATTAGAGAGTGTTCCAGTAATTGCAACCCTGAGCTATGCTGCAGTACAAAAGGATTAATAGAGAATAATGTGGACATATGTTTAAAAAGATAAACATGCTAGGTGGATGTGAAGAATTGTTCTTGCTAGTGTTTGTTGTGGAATCCCTGGTTGGGTCTATGTTGTCTTTACACCTGAATACTAGGCTGGGCAAGTCTGATGGACTAGTGGAGCAGATCCATCAGGAATTTGTTTGCATGAGAGTATCCCAGATAAGAACTTATTTTAAGGGAAAAAGAGAGTCGAGCACAACACCCCTTACAGCCAGAAGGCAGGAGCAGAGTGATGAGAGCACTGAGTGATACGTAACACTTGAGTTAGACTCCAGCTCAGCAACCAAAGAATGACCCTTGTCTTGGTCATAAGCTGACAAAGGATTTAAAATAAAATATGGCAATACTATTTCACCAAAAACATGTATATTAGGTAAGCCGATACTGCCTTATCAGAGGGTAAAGAGGAAGAAGAAAAATTTTCCCCTAAATCACTATCCAGCTTCGGCATCATGGGGGCCTGATCATTGGGGCGCTATCGAGGAGGAGGTAGTGGAAGTGGCAGCTACATTTAATGCAATTCTTGTTTTAAAAATTTTTATTGATATGTAGCTGTTGTAAATATTCTTGGAGTGCAAGTGATATTTTGATATATGCATATAATGTGTAATGATCAAATCAGGGTAATTAGGATATCCATCACCTCGAACATTTATCTTTTCTTTGTGTTGGGAACATTGAAACTCTTCTCTTCTAGCTGTTTTGAAATATACAATAAGTTATTGTAAACTATAATTTTTCTATCATACTATGGAATAGTAGAACTTATTTCTTCTATCTAACTATATTTTTGTATCCCTTAACCAACTTTTCTTCATCCTCCCCTTCCCTTTTCCCTTCCCAGACTGCAATAACCACCAGTCTGCTCTCTACCTCCATGAGATCCACTTTGTTATCTCCCACATGTGAGTGAGAACATGTGATATTTGTCTTTCTCTGCCTGGCTTCCTTCACTGAACATAATGACATCCAGTTCCATCCACGTCATTCAATGAAATTCTGCAACATGTGCAGGAAGATGGCAGAAATTTCTGAGCACTAATGGCAAAAGCCCATAGCAGTGGCTGTGTGTGGCAAATGTTGCCAGCCAAAATTGGTGGTAGATGGATGACAGTAGCAGTGGTACCTAGCAGAGATGTGCGTTCCCTGTGGATTTGGCAGTGATAATCCAAGCATGCTGTTAGCTATGTCTAAGAGGACATGAGAGGCACCCACTGGGAACTCCTAAAAACTATGGGTGACAGAGGGGAGGTTTAACAGAGAGCAGAGTTCCCTATATGAGCAGGGGGAAGCAAGAGCCAGCAAAGTCTGGATGAGAAACCCAGTTCCCATATGAGCTTGCAGGTGGATAGACTCAACAAACTCAAGGCAACTTTTCTCCTCTCTCATCCCCTTCTTAAAAATTATTATTATCCCAGCACTTTGGGAGGCCGAGGCAGGCAGATCACGAGGTCAGGAGATCGAGACCATCCTGGCTAACATGGTGAAACCCTGGGCGTGGTGGCGGGCGCCTGTAGTCCCAGCTACTCAGGAGGCTGAGGCAGGAGAATGGTGTGAACCCGGGAGGCAGAGCTTGCAGTGAGCCGAGATCACGCCGCTGCACTCCAACCTGGGAGACACAGCGAGACTCCATCTCAAAAAAAAAATATGTTATATTTTGGTATCAGTATTTTCAACATACAGAGAGCTTTTCACTTGGTGCTATTGTCCAGCAGATGAAGGACGGTTTTACTTATATTTATTTGGAATGTCAAGATGGTGGCTTTGGCAACATCAAAAATGTTGAGTCAAAAATGAGTGACTCTTGCTTTGAAAGAAACTTTGTCACTCATATATATACATATATATAAATATATATAAAAGATATATATAAATATATATAAAAGATATATATGTAAAAGATATATATAAAAATATATAAATATATAAAATATATAAAAATATATAAATATATAAAAATATGTAAAATATATGTATAAATATATATATATTTTCTATCTGTATTCACATTCTAAGAAGTGTTGAAGCTTTGACTTAGTAGAAAATGATGATAGTTGTCAAGCCCCTTCAGAGAGTCTTGGGTAAAATTACTGATAAATCTGTTTCTGTTTCCCTGTAATTATGGTGCCATCATCGGGGAGAAAATCTCCTGAGGCTGCAGGGGAGATACTACAGGACCTTCCCATAGTTGTAGTTGACTCCCTGTGACTCTTTCATCCTGTAACACTTCATTTTCCTTTCTTACTCTCCACCAGAGCTCATGATTAATTTTGCTATTTTCTGCCAATCTTTTTCCCTAAAATTTGTTGTTTGATTCCCTATCTCCACCGTCAAGGATTCTGGATACTGTTTGTTTCATCTTGGAATTGGGACATTTTTCTTTCCTCCCTTAGTCCCTTAATTATAGCATCTAATTCCTTCTTTGGAATAACTTTACCTAGACTAATTCATTGAAGAGCAATGCAAATGGCTGTGCACTTTAGCCATCCCCAGTAGAAAGTGAAAATAACCACATCTGGCTGTTGAATTCAAGAGGGACAAATATGAGTCTCAGGAGGGGTGAGTGTAGGAGAGGGTTAAAATGGAAGCATATCTGAATCCCCCTGGCTGGCAATTGCTCTGAATCCTTGTAGTTGAAAGAGCTACAAAATAGGGATTCAACAGCATGGGAAATTGAGAAATTTTCTAGAGAAAAAAAAAAAAAAGTCCCTTTAGCTTGGCAATTGTTAACAATTTACTTTGGTAGTTCTGATTATAATTATGAGTAAAAATTCATGAAATAGCTCTTTCAAAACTTGGGAGTGAGGATGAGAATTTTTTTTGTTTCACTGAGTGACTGATATTAGACATTCAAATCACTCTTCTCCACATTCATTATGTGGGGTTTGAATAGATTCACATAATCCTAACCTGCTGTGGTCTTCACTTGCTAATCTATTCCAACACCAGTGGAATATTAATGACGATGAAGCCATACACTTTCCATAACCTCTCTATTTGTACTGTGACAAAATTAAGTACAGTCTGCATTTAATTACCCAGCACTGGACTTCAGCAAGAAAGAATTCAATTTTGTAAAATAACAAATTTTGGGGTAATTGCATGCATAATCAATTCATATTTTATCCATTCCATGGTGATCTTTAGGGCAGGTCATTATTTCGTCTCCTTATTTAAAGAGATGTTACACTTTTAAGGTCACTGTTCTGATAGCCTTAATTAACATCAAGAAAAATAAATTAAGACAGTTTTTTTTTCGGGGGGGGGGGTGGGGGTGGTGGGGTTTGAGGTTGCCTTTTTGCATTTAGCATTGAGGTCACATAGTTTTGAGGCCAAAGCAGGGTTTTCCCTGGATATCTTTCTTGGCTCACTTCTCTAGATGAAGTTTGCATTCTGGTAAAAGGTGGTGCATTTTCTGTTTGTCAGAAAAATAATATTATAAAATGGTTTTATTATCCAGAGCTGAGACCAAAATGAGGGCTCAGATGACAAAGGACAACTTCTCTTTGACCCCAGAATATACCTCTACAATAATAAGGTTACAGTAGCCATAGGGGAACCAGCTGGTTCCTCACAGGCATTTATCTGGTAGGGAAAATAAAGACAGAGAAATTTTGCCTTTGGCTGTCACATATTGGTATAGTCTGATGTGGCTGATTTTTCCTCTAAATTACTATGTGAGTTTTAGCTGTAGCCCGCCGGGTGCAATACTGTAGCATTAACCCCAGAATCTTTTCTTTTATTTACTTTTCATCATTCTTCATTCCTTCTTTCTCTAACTGCTCTCAAAATAGAGTACGCACACAGGATTCCTGTGAAGTCAGAGGAGGAACCTGAAGATAGTCTCTTTTTAGTGTGGTTCATTCTGATTCTGAGTCTCTTGAGTAGATGACCATTCCCAGTGCTCAAGCTGAGGAATTTTGTAAGACACAAAGCCTGTAAATCCTGGGAAGAGGGACAAGGGCCAGTGAGAAGCCAACCGGGGAACTGGAAACAGAGCTGGCTCTATGTCCGTCCCGATTTCCTAGGCCTGGTATTTTGGGAATTAGGAAAAGAGCTGGCTCTATGTTCATCCCGATTTCCTAGGCCTGGTATTTTGGGAATTAGGAAAAGAGCTGGCTCTATGTCCGTCCCGATTTCCTAGGCCTGTTTTGGGAATTAGAAACAGAGCTGGCTCTATGTCCGTCCCGATTTCCTAGGCCTGGTATTTTGGGAATTAGGAAAAGAGCTGGCTCTATGTTCATCCCGATTTCCTAGGCCTGGTATTTTGGGAAATGAGACCAGGAAAAATATCTAGAAATTGCCAATTCTACCCAGTTAGGAAAATGAGAATTTTGGTATCTCCTTGCCTGTCCATCTCATCTGCCCCTGCCCCCACTTCAGTCTAAATAGCCTTGCTTTGATCTATACTGTGTGTGTGACTTGCGGGAAATGTTTTGTTTGAATAAAGTGCTCTGTATCTAAAAAAAAAAACTTGAAAACACTGAAGAGGTTTAAAATGCATCATTTTACAGATGAGGAATCTGCAGCTCAGAAATGGTAGAGAACATTCTGGGAGTCACAGAGCTAAGAGGAAGGTGAGCTGGGAGTGGACATAGGCTCTCTTGGGTCCTACATTCAAGTGCCAGTTGCACACTTCCCCATCTCCAAATAGTCAGTCAACCTCAAGGTCATTGCAGGGGCAGCCAAAACCAGCTATATTTACAGTCAGAAGATAGGCAATTCACTTATTGTTTTTTGCCTTTGCATAGAGTACACAACTTGTCAAAAATAAACAGTAGGTACCATAAGACTTGGTATTGTCAGCTATTGGCCAGTTGTTTAGTTTCAAGGTTTATTGATTTAAATTCCTATAAAATTAGATTCAGCCCCCACCCTTGTCCACCCCTACCCTCCTCTAACTGCTAACCCTGTTCAAGAATGCAGTCTGTGTTCACAGCTGGCTACATTTTCCTCCTGTCCCCACCTTCCATGGTGTTAAGCAAGAAATGCAAAACACATGGATATTCATGAATAATTCAAGTCCCTAGAGAAGGCCATTCGATCCCGACCCAACACTAACCCTCCCCATCAATCTGCATTTATAAAACTAACCCTGAGAAAGTCAAGCTCCTTCAGACTTGCGAATAGCAGGCAGTTCTGATTTGCAAGCCTAAGAGGTCCTCAAATAAAAAAAAAATCAATTCAAACCCAAAGTGACATTTCAGTTTTAATAAGTCAGCATTGTCTGGCCTGTATTATTTAATGGGCTATATTTATTGCGCCCTCTGAAGAGTTAAATCTCATGAACAGTGGGACAGAATGCTATCTATTATAATTTCAATTTTCATGATTGGAAACACAGAATTTATTATTCTGCTGAAAGGAGGCTCTAAAATGATTTTCATTTCAGCTCATCTATCAGAAGGGAGTGTGCCTCCAAAGATGTTACAGACCTCATTTCAGTCTCATGACCCATTTGTTTAAGCATTTAGAACTGATACCCCAAAGCAACAAGACTGGGAGCCTTCTAACCAGCCCTGGTTTCCAGGTAGAAGGTGACACCCTCAGATATGCAAGGACTTAGCTTCTATCCGAAGACAAGAAGCTAAGAGCCTCAGTGAAACACCAACTGTCTTAAGGAATCATTTTCTAGACTGGGAAGATTAGTATACAACAAGAAATACAGGTGTGAAGAGTTGTTTGCTTGAAAGCTGTGATTTGACATTCACCACCACACTAAATCTCTTGGGCATTACATTTAAGGACACTGTAGTCACCGGAAAAACTCAAAATTCAAATTCAGCTTTGGGATTCAACTTATGTCTGCCCACTTTGCAGGTTTCTTTTTTCCCAAAAACCCTATTAGTTGATTGATTGGATTATCTAAACGTATTATTTTATTTTTTTGAGACAGACTCTTACTCTGTCACCCAGGCTGGAGTGCAATGGTGCAATCTTGGCTCACTGGAACCTCTGTCTCCTGGGTTCAGGCAGTTCTCCTGCCTTAGCCTCCCAAGTAGCTGAGATTGCAGGCATGCACCACCACTCCTAGCTAATTTTTTTTTTGCATTTTTAATAGAGACAGGGCTTTGCCATGTTGGCCAGGGTGGTCTTGAACTCCTGGCCTCAAGTGATCCACCCATCTTGGCCTCACAAAGTGCTGGGATTATAGGTGTGAGTCACCATGCCCGGCCTAAACCTATAATTTATTTAGACATAAGAGAAATAGCTCCATTTCCTTCACTTACAAAGTGGCTATAAGAGAAGATGAAACTTCTGCATAGATTCTTGTAAAACCTGAGTTGGGACATCTAATGACAAGTGAGATCAGGGTTTGACAAACTATGGCCCACGGGTCAAATCCAGCCCCTCTCCTGATTTTGTCAGTAAAGCTTTATGTTGTATTATTGCTGACATATGAGGTGGGTTGCTGCCATTGGCCTGGTTTGCTGTTGGTATACCAGCAGCCTCTGGTACATTCCTTAATGTGACCAGCTTGTTAAACATCTTTTCTACCATGTGATTGTGGGAGAAACTATTTTAGAGCAGGCAGTATTTTCCTCAACTAGTACTCACTTTGGGAGAATGTCTTGCCTAAATTTAGACATTTTTTATTGCATTGAGAAAATATTTAAGAATATAAACAAAATCTTAGTTTTATTTCTGGGGGCTTAGGCCATTGAGTTATAACTACCTCTTTGTAGCTTTACTGTTATTTTCCAGCCCTTTTGTTGTCCTCACTCATGTATTGGGGAATTTGGCACCTGACTCAAAATCTTTCTTCCCTAGTCCCTGCCATGATAATTAACTGGGTAACTCCACAGCATGGTCTCTCATGTCTTTGACCTTCTGCATTGCACCTGTACCCCCATCATGCCTTGGCCCTCATCATCCACAGCTGTCTCACCTCCGTGGGCAACATTCAATGAGCCCGTGCTTGGCCCACAGCTCCCTTTGTCCCAGGTATCTTCTTTTGTTTTTTTTTGAGGCAGAGTTTCACTCTTTTTGCCCAGGTTGGAGTGCAATGGTGCAATCTCGGTTCACCGCAACCTCCGCCTCCTGGGTTCAAGTGATTCTCCTGCCTCAGCCTCCCAAGTAGCTGGGATTACAGGCATGCACCACCACGCCCAGCTAATTTTGTATTTTTATTAAAGGTGGGGGTTTCTCCACATTGGTCAGGCTGGTGTCGAACTCTCGACCTCAGGTGATCCACCCGCCTTGGCCTCCCAAACTGCTGGGATTACAGGCGTGAGTCACTGTGCCTGGCTGGTATCTTCTTCAGCCTCCTACACTACAGCCATTCTTTAGCTTCATCAGGAATCCCAGTCCTTGCATAGCTCTATTTTCTCCCAATTATTGAACCTTTGTATTTCTCATTTATCCCTTAGGAAGCTTATTTTTATTTATTTCTTCAACTTCTTTAACAAAAGACAATTTATTAAAATTTCTTTGGTCCTAAAGGCCCACCAAATTCCTATTTGTCCTTAATGTTCATATTCTGCCTCTTTAATCAATTGCTTTTGGATTTTTGGCACATTTTAAAGTAGTAGGGCATGACAAAAGAAATGATTTTTGAAAATTTCTCATTTTAGAAATGTCCCTTATAATTACTTACTTATGCTCCATGCTTTAAAGAAACCAGCTACATTTTGAGCATTCAGGATCTAACTAGTAATATTAAGTCAAGCATTCAGGATCTAAATAGTAATATTAAATTTTCTACAAATTTTCTCAGGTAAAATCTGGCTTGTATAATTACTATTTTGCTCAGAAATAATCACAGAAATGGAATTGCCCTTTTGATGTTGAAAATCTGAATCAAAAAACCTAAGCCAAGAAGGAAAATAAGTATAGTAGGATTCCTCCTAATCCCTTGAGTATGTTTATGCGTATTATTGGACTACTCTGCTCTTCATATTAACAGCAACGTGTCATTTGACATAACTATAGGGCATAACAATGAATATTTTTAAGAAATAAAGTCAGACCATATCCCATGCCTCTTAAGTTGGTAAACATATCAAAAAATTTTGTATGTATTTATATGTGTGTATACATTTACACACACCCACATACACTGTGTATACACACACTGTATGTATAGATACTGTGTATATACACACATTCTATATATACACTATATACACACACAGAAAGATCATTATATAATGTGTGCATATATAATATACATCTTATATGTATGTGTGTGTATATATATCAAATGACACTGTATATGTGTGTGTGTCTATATACATATTATATACACAGAGAGAGAGGGAGGGAGAGGAGAGAGAGGGAGAGAGAGATTGAATCACTGGCTCTATACCCAAATGTATATGAATAGCAATTTTAATTTAGAACAATTAATCTTTTATTAATTGATATTTATTTTATTAACACAGTAGTTTTATGTTTTTATTGATTAAAATAACATGTCACAAACTAGCAAAAATGGTTTCCTTTTATGTAATGATTTTTCCTTTTAATCTATTGTAAATAGCACGGAAACTGATTTAAAAGTTTTGACTTCATTCTCCATTTTTTTCCACCCATCTCCCATTTCAACAAACTTTAGACCTAAGGGAGAATTTAACCTTAAGAGTAGTTTAATGAGAAGAACCTTTCTGTGTTTACGTTTGAAATGTTTTGTGTTGAAAACTTGATATTAATTTTAGCAATAAAAAGTTAGATAATTCAGATTAACCATCTTACTGAGGGCAAGCAGAAAAGCTATATAATGCTTTAAAAAAAGTTTATTGGAAGGAATTGATAAACACTGACAAACATTGGCAGTGAGGGCCAGGACTTGGAGAAAGATGGAAGCCCAGAGAACTGAGCCTAGTATTTGGGACCTCTTTCAGAACTACAGCTAGGAGGTTCCTTGCTGTGGACAGTGGGTGGTGTGAAAGGATTTCATAAGATTAATAACTGAGCTTAGCACATTTGCTAAATGAAAGGCCAATGTAGAAATTGCATTTCTATATTATAACAACAGAAAATGCAAAAATTTAAAAGATGCATTCTACATGTATCAAAAGATTATCTACCTTGGAGTAAATTGAACATACAGCCAACATCACTACACAGAAAACTATAAAACATTTCTGACAGAAATTAAAGAGTGATGAACTTGCCAGGAAGTTCCAGGTTCTAATAGTCCCTAAACTAATTCTGGATAGTTGATGCTAGATCAATGCAATCCCACTCAAAATTTTATCAGATTTTATTTGGTTTTAGTGGCACTTGATAAGACAGTTCTTGCAAAGGGCTATGAATAGTCAAAGCTTAAAGGATAAAAACAAGTAGGGGGATTTGCTCTACCACTTATCAAAGGTCATTATAATTATATAGTAAATGAAACACTGAGATACCGATGCAATAATAGGAGGATAGACAAGTCAGCCAATGGTATATAAAAGAAATCCCAGGAATAGACCCATATGTATATGGACAAATGGTTCATAGTAAAGGTATCACTTTAGAACAGTGGAGAAAGGATCTTTTCAATAAATGCTGTCAAAGTAAGTGGATGTTTATAAGAAAGAAATTTATCTCTATCTTAGGACATATACAACAATTAATTTCAGGTGGATCATAGGCATCCAAATGGCCAGCAAATACATAAAAAGTTTCTCAACTTCATTAGTTTTCAGGAAAATGCTTATTTAAAGTATAGGATGTCACTACACAGCTGCCAGAATGGTGAACATGCAAAAGATAGATAATACCATATATTGGGCATGTGGAACAAGGAGAACTTTCAATCATTCATTGTCAGTAGGAGTTAAGTTGGTATTGAAAATGTTTTGGCAGTCTTTATTAAAGTTAAGATATGTAAATCCTATGACCTAGCAATTTTACTTTTAGATATGAACATAAATATATACCAAGGTACGCAAGAGAAACATGCAAGACTGCTTATTGAAACATTATAAAAGCCCAATGTACAAATAACTCCAATGTTTATCAACAGTAGAGAGGTACATTTGGTTTATTTATGCATATAGTATATATACATACAATGTAACACTACAGAGAAATGAAAATGAACAAAATACAGCATCATACAACATGGGTATATATCACGAACACATTTTTTATTGAAGAGTTCGGGTATAAAAGAATATATACTATATGAGCCCATTTATATGAAGTTCACGAAAACAGGGAATGGCATGCTTTGGGCAGTAAACTGGAAAGTTGCTAGTAAATGTTACTTTAAAAAGAAAATATATTGGTTACTTTTGGAGGGCAGGGAGGGGCTGTTTACTGGGATTAAGTATATGGAGGCTTCAAGAATGTTGGTAATGTTCCATTTATTTCCTAATCTGTGTGGTGGTTTTAGAAATTATAGATCTGAACATTTTTGGGGTACTTTTCTGTATGTGTTGTTTCACCAGAGTAAAGGCATAAGAAATAAGTAAAGAAAGAAACTGATATTTTGTTATTGTTTCCACATAGGCAGACAAATGCCCTACCCAAGGATAGATCACTTCATTTTTCTTCAAGTAATAGTAACTTGTTGTTTGAATTAAATCTTTGAACAAATAATTGCTAAAAGAAACCTCTCTGAAAATGAAAGAACTGATTTCTGTGTTTCTACATTAGACTTATAATTTTATTAGATATCGAATGGAATTTTAATCTGCTATGGGGAACCCACCAGAAAAATGTATTTTCACTGAGAATATACACCAAGCTCTCCATTTGCTGATTCTCAAGTTTACCTATGATCCCATTTTTCATTGAAAAAATTTCTTCATAAACACTGGTGAAACCCAGAGCTTGGTAGATATTATTAACAGCAGTGTGAGGTTCACATCGGGGATCAGTATTTTGTATTCAGAAAACCCATTATTTTTCTCCTCCCTTTTAGATGAAAGTATAACATTTTTCTCTATGTCAGTTTTTCTTGTGCCTATGTTTTGGCAGAGTTTAAAGTACACCCTTCATGTTAACTTGCATTCTCTGAGCACTGAGTGAGAAGGAAAGATTAGCTACGGCAGTGGTTGACAATGAGTTAATAAACTTGTCTAGGATCTCTGAGTCAGTAACTGAGCTATACATGGAACTCAGCCTTGTGACCTGTAACTAACTTCAGCCACTTACAAATTTTACCCCAAGATTCATAGTCTGTAAAAGAGTGTAGGCTGTCTGTTTGGAAGTGTATGAATGGGCTTTGGAGTCATATATCACCATCTTCACTGTTTGGCCTTAGGTGCAACATTCACGTTTTCTGAAGTGTGATGACTGTATTCATACAATCTACACAATTCCGTCCACCTTGCAAGTTTTCATGCAGATGTTTGGCATGTAGTAAGGTAACTCAATAAATGAAAAAGTATTATCCACACTGATATGTTCAAACCATTAATTTTATTGTCAAGGGACCAACACCCATGGAGGAGGGGAAACGTGTTCAAGATCACGTAACAGAATTGGAATAAAACCTAGGTCTTCTGTCCCCCAGCTAGTTGTTCTTTCCACCCGCTTTCCAGATCGTAATCAGTCCTGGTCCAACAACTTAAAATAGAGAAAAAGAAGGAAAGAAAGAAAAGCAGCTGCATTGCAGCCCACTTTTCTAAAATTTCCAGGCTAATTTTATAGATTTAATTGGAATGGCAAGGACAAGATTTGTCTTAATAAGAGAACGAATTCATTAGGTTGTTAAGTACAACCTCGAGCAGGAGACAGCATGTGACAAATTACAGAAATAACAAGGCTCCGAATGGCCGAGCACGTGCACCTGCAGCCGTCCCACCTGGGGCTGTAATTTCATTACCCTCATAAACCAAGGCAAGGTCAGGCTTAGTCAGACTTCGATTAAGAGGCCCCTAAGGAGATCCCAGGTGCAAAAGGAACTAGCATCGATGCAACGAGAGATGTGTGAGAACTTCTTTTTCCTGTCCTGAAGTGGACCTTGTTGGGGCCGTTAAATGATGAGGTTAGAGAACCAGGTGCAAGGAGCTGTCACATGGAGCAGTGGGCCAAAGCCAGAAAGCCTGGCTTAGATTTGTCTTCAGCCTTTGTTAGGAGTGGGAGTCGGGGAAGGTTTTCATAAACCACATGCGAACCTAACCTTGCAAGTTTGTTCAGGTGCAGCTGTTCCTCTTAGGGGGCAGGAAGAATAAATCTGTTCCTTTATTTGCTGGTAAGTGGCCTGTCTTCTGTGAGCTGGTGCCAGTTGGATGAGAATGAAGCCAGCGTTCTTGAGCCTTGGGAATGGCACAGTTGACCTGGCCACATTTCAGGTCTCCCAGTTAGATCTGCTTTCCTAAGTGGCTCCTGCAGTTTCAAATTTTCCTTCTCAGAGTTGAGCGTGCAAAGCAATCCCTGGTTGTGGAATACCTTTTCCAGCACCACTTGGCAAGATGCCTTGGACTAGATTTGAAGCAGAGGTGGCATAAAATAGTTGGTGCCATGCCTTCCAAATGTATTCGGTGTAAGGTGTTCTTAGGGTTTCTTGAGAGACAGTGTGATTAATGCGGCCATGGCTGATTTAGTGGATAAATGTTCTGTGGCTTCTAGGCTATACACGTATCCTAGAAAAACCTGAGTTTTCCACGATGTTCAGAAATTACAATGGACATTTAGTGGGAACAAACAGGAGGTAGTTCTTGGCTGAGAACAGAATCCAAATGCTAAGTCTGAATAAGCCATTATCTTATTGTGCCACATTAATCATTCACATAGCCCCCAGTACCTTAGGTCTAGAATATTTTAAGCAGCTTTATTCATCCCCTATTATGGGTAAGTTGTAAACTAAGGCTGGAATATGGCTTGACAGTAGCTTGATAGAGGAACACTGATGGAGGAGGTGATCCCCCTGGAGATTCCTGGAGTTGAAGGGAGTGAGGTCACATCAAGGGGTGGGGGTGGGGGGCGGGGGGTTACTGGGAATAACTACAGACTTGAAAATTCGGAAAATTTGTAAAATTTCTATGTAAAGAGCATCAAAGGCCAAAACTGGGAACACCACCTTTGTGTCTTCAAGTAGAAAAACCAAGTGTATGACAGAGAATGAGAGGGAGATCTAAGGGAGTCAGAAACTATGTAGATGCTGCAGTGAGGCAGGAAAGATGGGACAGACATGCACCAGAATCCTAAGATGTTTGCCTTTGTTGGAGCTGGAGTTCTTGTTCCTTTATCTTATTCTGTTTCATTTGACTTTTTATTTTTGGTTGTGGTTGGTTCCATGGTGCATGGATAGGCCCACTTTGAGTTCTTTATTAACTTCCCTGCGATCTGTTTGGATTTTGTTGCTTTTGTTAGAATTACCCAGACAAATGATCCCAAAGCATACCTTGAGTCTCAGTTACTGATTGATTTGGCAAGGTCCAAAGCCTGTTTTTCAGATCTCAATTATCTAGCTGATTTATGTCCACAAATGCAAGTGCTGATTTTCACCAGCGCAGAATATTATAAAAGCAATATAAAATATGATTTTATAAAGGGGGTAACTGTGCCAGATACCTTTCTGGTCCCTGAATAAACTGTAAGGATGACAATTATATCTGCACTGATGTTGACGTAATGGGGGAAGCGATTGGTTGAGCTTTCTTCAGATGAATGAATTTTCTCTAAGTATCTAGCAAGCAAATGTCAGACTCTGCTTGTTAAGTGATTGCCCCCTTCCCCAAATAAAAGTCTAATGAAGAAAGCTAGTGACCTGTAATCCCAGTGACTCAGGAGGCCTAGGTAGGAGGACTGCTTGAACTCAGGAGTTCTAGGCTGCAGTGAGCCATCATTTTGCCACTGCACTCCTCCTTCCTTCCCTTTTCCTTCCCCTTCCTCCTCTTCTCCTTCTTCTTGTTCCTTTGCCTCCTCTTCTTCCTTCTTCTTGTCTTCCTCCTCCTCCTTCTCCTTCTCCATCTCTCTCTCTGTCTCTCATAGCAAACTGGTATTAATTTAGCCATCAGTTCAAGAGGGAGAGTATTTATTGATGGCAAGAGGAACCTGAAGAATACATGTCTCTAGAAACTTCCTGTCACCTGGGCAATGTGAGGTACTGTGACAGCTAGAAAATAGAATAATAGCAGTTGGGAGTCTATCACAGATCAGCTGCACCCTGGGTTATGCTCCTGAGCCCGTAGCAAACATTATGTAAGTATCTAGGAGAGTTCTTGGAGAAAGATGTGAGACTTGTTTAAAAAAACAAACAAACAAAAAACAGTCACTTTTGGAAAGCCCTTCATGGGAGAAGGAGGGGTTCTAAGCAGATTGATTGCTATGACTGGGGTGATCTGAGCGGGGAAAACTGGGTCTTGACCAGCTGGATCTGGGCCACGGAAGATGCTGGGGGGCTAGAGGGGAATCTTGGTCTCGTGAGTACTTAGGTGGTCGGAGCAAGGTTAGAGCTTGTTGAGATCTTGAGGCGGGTGCTACCAGGTTGCCGGCAGTGTGGGAATTGCCATTTGCTTAGTGGGAGGAACTTGGATGTGTCAACCTTATTTAAAGCTTTGAAGTTAAGAGAGGTCTCTATTGCAGCTGAGTGATAATGTACAAGCCTTTTATTTTCTGGGTCTTTTTTTTCCCTCATTTATAAAAGGAGAAAACTAATACCTGCCCCATAGGATTGTATGAGACTTAGGTAAATTGATAAATGTAAAATTGTTGGGCTCAGCATCTGTCACTATCTGATAACCAGAATCAGTTTTTTTTAGGTAGGAAACATTTACCAGTCTTTCATCTACACACTTATGTCCTGAAATATGCTATACTTTATTACATCTTTTAAGATAGATACAGAAAAAATTTGCATTTTTCAGTCTTCAAGATTTCTTACGTAAACATATTTTCTTTTTAGTTTAATAATTTGATAAAATGATGCTAGGCAAATAATTTTCATGTCCTGCTTTTTCTCCATACCTATAAAGATACCAAGAACATTTCTTATAGGAGCAAACAGTTCTTCAGAGTATAACTTTTAATGACAGAATAAGTATTTCTTTGAACTAACACTCTAGAGTTTATTCCAAATATTAAGTTACTTCTGATTCAAGAAGGTAATCAAGGTTCTAATCATTCATATGAAATTCATTATAACTATTAAAAATCCCTGTAAGCACCTAGACAAAACCATCAATTCAATGTATGGCCTTAAACTCATCATTTCACAGAAATAAATCCAGAAGTCATGAATTAGCATTGTGTTAGTGAAGGCACATTTTATTACGAGTGCCTGTGTATGTATTTGCACATGTGTGTGCGTGTAAAAAAGAAGAAAAGGCAAAGCTGTGATTTGAGTGTCCTATCATTGGCAAGAGGTCAGGCCTGGCAGCTCCAAATTCCAGGTCTGCTTTGATATTTTAATTGTATATCAGGGACCCTTTAAGGAAGCCAGAAAAAGCCAAGTCATTCAAAATATAGCCTGGGGTGAGGTGTCAGACTGCTGGGGTTTCTATTCTGGATTCAGCACTGTCAAGCCTTGTTTGTACTTTTCTTAAGTTACTAACTTTTTTATGTTTTAGTTTCCTTCCCTACAAAATGGACATAATAATAATACTTATCTGTAGGAATACTTTGAAGATTAAACAAGGTAACATATGTAAAGTGCTTAGTGCTTGGTGTGTGCTAATTTTGAAGTAAATGTTGGCAATTATTATTAGTTAAGATTCTGATGCAAAGTGTGGAAACTCAGCCCATGAAAACACAAATATTGGAGGAGGAGCCAAGATGGCCGAATAGGAACAGCTCCGGTCTACAGCTCCCAGCGTGAGCGACGCAGAAGACGGGTGATTTCTGCATTTCCATCTGAGGTACCGGGTGCATCTCACTAGGGAGTGCCAGACAGTGGGCGCAGGCCAGTGGGTGTGCGCACCGTGCGCGAGCCGAAGCAGGGCGAGGCATTGCCTCACCTGGGAAGCGCAAGGGGTCAGGGAGTTCCCTTTGCGAGTCAAAGAAAGGGGTGACGGACGCACCTGGAAAATCGGGTCACTCCCACCCGAATATTGCGCTTTTCAGACCGGCTTAAAAAACGGCGCACCACGAGACTATATGCCGCACCTGTCTCGGAGGGTCCTACGCCCACGGAGTCTCGCTGATTGCTAGCACAGCAGTCTGAGATCAAACTGCAAGGCGGCAGCGAGGCTGGGGGAGGGGCGCCCGCCATTGCCCAGGCTTGCTTAGGTAAACAAAGCAGCCGGGAAGCTCGAACTGGGCGGAGCCCACCACAGCTCAAGGAGACCTGCCTGCCTCTGTAGGCTCCACCTCTGGCGGCAGGGCACAGACAAACAAAAAGACAGCAGTAACCTCTGCAGACTTAAATGTCCCTGTCTGACAGCTTTGAAGAGAGCAGTGGTTCTCCCAGCACGCAGCTGGAGATCTGAGAACGGGCAGACTGCCTCCTCAAGTGGGTCCCTGACCCCTGACCCCCGAGCAGCCTAACTGGGAGGCACCCCCCAGCAGGGGCACACTGACACCTCACACGGCCGGGTATTCCAACAGACCTGCAGCTGAGGGTCCTGTCTGTTAGAAGGAAAACTAACAAACAGAAAGGACATCCACACCGAAAACCCATCTGTACATCACCATCATCAAAGACCAAAAGTAGATAAAACCACAAAGATGGGGAAAAAACAGAACAGAAAAACTGGAAACTCTAAAATACAGAGCGTCTCTCCTCCTCCAAAGGAACGCAGTTCCTCACCAGCAACAGAACAAAGCTGGATGGAGAATGACTTTGATGAGCTGAGAGAAGAAGGCTTCAGACGATCAAATTACTCTGAGCTACGGGAGGACATTCAAACCAAAGGCAAAGAAGTTGAAAACTTTGAAAAAAATTTAGAAGAATGTATAACTAGAATAACCAATACAGAGAAGTGCTTAAAGGAGCTGATGGAGCTGAAAACCAAGGCTCGAGAACTATGTGAAGAATGCAGAAGCCTCAGGAGCCGATGCGATCAACTGGAAGAAAGGGTATCAGCAATGGAAGATGAAATGAATGAAATGAAGCAAGAAGGGAAGTTTAGAGAAAAAAGAATAAAAAGAAATGAGCAAAGCCTCCAAGAAATATGGGACTATGTGAAAAGACCAAATCTACCTCTGATTGGTGTACCTGAAAGTGATGGGGAGAATGGAACCAAGTTGGAAAACACTCTGCAGGATACTATCCAGGAGAACTTCCCCAATCTAGCAAGGCAGGCCAACGTTCAGATTCAGGAAATACAGAGAATGCCACAAAGATACTCCTCGAGAAGAGCAACTCCAAGACACATAATTGTCAGATTCACCAAAGTTGAAATGAAGGAAAAAATGTTAAGGGCAGCCAGAGAGAAAGGTCGGGTTACCCTCAAAGGGAAGCCCATCAGACTAACAGCGGATCTCTCGGCAGAAACCCTACAAGCCAGAAGAGAGTGGGGGCCAATATTCAACATTCTTAAAGAAAAGAATTTTCAACCCAGAATTTCATATCCAGCCAAACTAAGCTTCATAAGTGAAGGAGAAATAAAATACTTTACAGACAAGCAAATGCTGACCGATTTTGTCACCACCAAGCCTGCCCTAAAAGAGCTCCTGAAGGAAGCGCTAAACATGGAAAGGAACAACCGGTACCAGCCGCTGCAAAATCATGCCAAAATGTAAAGACCATCGAGACTAGGAAGAAACTGCATCAACTAACGAGCAAAATCACCAGCTAACATCATAATGACAGGATCAAATTCACACATAACAATATTAACTTTAAATATAAATGGACTAAATTCTCCAATTAAAAGACACAGACTGGCAAATTGGATAAAGAGTCAAGACCCATCAGTGTGCTGTATTCAGGAAACCCATCTCACATGCAGAGACACACATAGGCTCAAAATAAAAGGATGGAGGAAGATCTACCAAGCAAATGGAAAACAAAAAAAGGCAGGGGTTGCAATCCTAGTCTCTGATAAAACAGACTTTAAACCAACAAAGATCAAAAGAGACAAAGAAGGCCATTACATAATGGTAAAGGGATCAATTCAACAAGAAGAGCTAACTATCCTAAATATATATGCACCCAATACGGGAGCACCCAGATACATAAAGCAAGTCCTGAGTGACCTACAAAGAGACTTAGACTCCCACACATTAATAATGGGAGACTTTAACACCCCACTGTCAACATTAGACAGATCAACGAGACAGAAAGTCAACAAGGATACCCAGGAATTGAACTCAGCTCTGCACCAAGCGGACCTAATAGACATGTACAGAACTCTCCACCCCAAATCAAGAGAATATACATTTTTTTCAGCACCACACCACACCTATTCCAAAATTGACCACATAGTTGGAAGTAAAGCTCTCCTCAGCAAATGTAAAAGAACAGAAATTATAACAAACTATCTTTCAGACCACAGTGCAATCAAACTAGAACTCAGGATTAAGAATCCCACTCAAAGCCGCTCAACTACATGGAAACCGAACAACCTGCTCCTGAATGACTACTGGGTACATAACAAAATGAAGGCAGAAATAAAGATGTTCTTTGAAACCAACGAGAACAAAGACACAACATACCAGAATCTCTGGGACGCATTCAAAGCGGTGTGTAGAGGGAAATTTATAGCACTAAATGCCCACAAGAGAAAGCAGGAAAGATCCAAAATTGACACCCTAACATCACAATTAAAAGAACTAGAAAAGCAAGAGCAAACACATTCAAAAGCTAGCAGAAGGCAAGAAATAACTAAAATCAGAGCAGAACTGAAGGAAATAGAGACACAAAAAACCCTTCAAAAAATCAATGAATCCAGGAGCTGGTTTTTTGAAAGGATCAACAAAATTGATAGACCGCTAGCAAGACTAATAAAGAAAAAAAGAGAGAAGAATCAAATAGACACAATAAAAAATGATAATGGGGATATCACCACCGATCCCACAGAAATACAAACTACCATCAGAGAATACTACAAACACCTCTACGCAAATAAACTAGAAAATCTAGAAGAAATGGATAAATTCCTTGACACATACACCCTCCCAAGACTAAACCAGGAAGAAGTTGAATCTCTGAATAGACCAATAACAGGATCTGAAATTGTGGCAATAATCAATAGCTTACCAACCAAAAAGAGTCCAGGACCAGATGGATTCACAGCCAAATTCTACCAGAGGTACAAGGAGGAACTGGTACCATTCCTTCTGAAACTATTCCAATCAATAGAAAAAGAGGGAATCCTCCCTAACTCATTTTATGAGGCCAGCATCATTCTGATACCAAAGCCGGGCAGAGACACAACCAAAAAAGAGAATTTTAGACCAATATCCTTGATGAACATTGATGCAAAAATCCTCAATAAAATACTGGCAAACCGAATCCAGCAGCACATCAAAAAGCTTATCCACCATGATCAAGTGGGCTTCATCCCTGGGATGCAAGGCTGGTTCAATATACGCAAATCAATAAATGTAATCCAGCATATAAACAGAACCAAAGACAAAAACCACATGATTATCTCAATAGATGCAGAAAAAGCCTTTGACAAAATTCAACAACCCTTCATGCTAAAAACTCTCAATAAATTAGGTATTGATGGGACGTATTTCAAAATAATAAGAGGTATCTATGACAAACCCACAGCCAATATCATACTGAATGGGCAAAAACTGGAAGCATTCCCTTTGAAAACTGGCACAAGACAGGGATGCCCTCTCTCACCACTCCTATTCAACATAGTGTTGGAAGTTCTGGCCAGGGCAATTAGGCAGGAGAAGGAAATAAAGGGTATTCAATTAGGAAAAGAGGAAGTCAAATTGTCCCTGTTTGCAGACGACATGATTGTATATCTAGAAAACCCCACTGTCTCAGCCCAAAATCTCCTTAAGCTGATAAGCAACTTCAGCAAAGTCTCAGGATACAAAATCAATGTACAAAAATCACAAGCATTCTTATACACCAACAACAGACAAACAGAGAGCCAAATCATGAGTGAACTCCCATTCACAATTGCTTCAAAGAGAATAAAATACCTAGGAATCCAACTTACAAGGGATGTGAAGGACCTCTTCAAGGAGAACTACAAACCACTGCTCAAGGAAATAAAAGAGGATACAAACAAATGGAAGAACATTCCATGCTCATGGGTAGGAAGAATCAATATCGTGAAAATGGCCATACTGCCCAAGGTAATTTACAGATTCAATGCCATCCCCATCAAGCTACCAATGACTTTCTTCACAGAATTGGAAAAAACTACTTTAAAGTTCATATGGAACCAAAAAAGAGCCTGCATTGCCAAGGCAATCCTAAGCCAAAAGAACAAAGCTGGAGGCATCACGCTACCTAACTTCAAACTATACTACAAGGCTACAGTAACCAAAACAGCATGGTACTGGTACCAAAACGGAGATATAGATCAATGGAACAGAACAGAGCCCTCAGAAATAACGCCGCATACCTACAACTATCTGATCTTTGACAAACCTGAGAAAAACAAGCAATGGGGAAAGGATTCCCTATTTAATAAATGGTGCTGGGAAAACTGGCTAGCCATATGTAGGAAGCTGAAACTGGATCCCTTCCTTGCACCTTATACAAAAATCAATTCAAGATGGATTAAAGATTTAAATGTTAGACCTAAAACCATAAAAACCCTAGAAGAAAACCTAGGCATTACCATTCAGGACATAGGCATGGGCAAGGACTTCGTGTCCCAAACACCAAAAGCAATGGCAACAAAAGACAACATTGACAAATGGGATCTAATTAAACTAAAGAGCTTCTGCACAGCAAAAGAAACTACCATCAGAGTGAACAGGCAACCTACAACATGGGAGAAAATTTTTGCAACCTACTCATCTGACAAAGGGCTAATATCCAGAATCTACAATGAACTCAAACAAATTTACAAGAAAAAAACAAACAACCCCATCAAAAAGTGGGCGAAGGACATGAACAGACACTTCTCAAAAGAAGACATTTATGCAGCCAAAAAACACATGAAAAAATGCTCATCATCACTGGCCATCAGAGAAATGCAAATCAAAACCACCATGAGATACCATCTCACACCAGTTAGAATGGCAATCATTAAAAAGTCAGGAAACAACAGGTGCTGGAGAGGATGTGGAGAAATAGGAACACTTTTACACTGTTGGTGGGAGTGTAAACTAGTTCAACCATTGTGGAAGTCAGTGTGGCGATTCCTCAGGGATCTAGAACTAGAAATACCATTGGACCCAGCCATCCCATTACTGGGTATATACCCAAAGGACTATAAATCATGCTGCTATAAAGACACATGC
This sequence comes from Homo sapiens, assembly GCF_000001405.40. Lineage (NCBI taxonomy): Eukaryota > Metazoa > Chordata > Mammalia > Primates > Hominidae > Homo > Homo sapiens. Next base: position 93,680,965 of record NC_000015.10, read on the forward strand.
ACACGTATGTTTATTGCGGCATTATTCACAATAGCAAAGACTTGGAACCAACCCAAATGTCCAACAATGATAGACTGGATTAAGAAAATGTGGCACATATACACCATGGAATACTATGCAGCCATAAAAAATGATGAGTTCATGTCCTTTGTAGGGACATGGATGAAATTGGAAATCATCATTCTCAGTAAACTATCGCAAGATCAAAAAACCAAACACCGCATATTCTCACTCATAGGTGGGAATTGAACAATGAGATCACATGGACACAGGAAGGGGAATATCACACTCTGGGGACTGTGGTGGGGTGGGGGGAGGGGGGAGGGATAGCATTGGGAGATATACCTAATGCTAGATGACGAGTTAGTGGGTGCAGCGCACCAGCATGGCACATGTATACATATGTAACTAACCTGCACAATGTGCACATGTACCCTAAAACTTAAACTATAATAATAAAAAAATAACAAATGAAAAAAAAAGAAAACACAAATATTTATGTACAATGAAGTTTGCATACAACACGCCCATGCAGTACATGTAAGAATACTGGCAGTATGTGTGTCTCCTGTCTTTTCAGGAGACAGGATGAAAAACAAAACTGCAAGAAAATGTCAGGATGAGGCTGCAGCTGCCATGAGCCAGGGAAGCAGAGAGGCAGGGGTTGAAAAGCAACTGTAAAGTGAATTTTGATTATGTTGGTGCTTTTTCTGTGGAACAGTGACTTTCAAGAGAAAAAAAAATCTTCTATCTCTTTTTGCCATATATAGCATGAAACACAATGTGAATTTTCTATGAGAGACTGGCACTGGAAAACTCTGAGAGAAAGTAACAGTGGTACTTCATGTTCATTTATCACGCAATGTTACAGAATGGTTTTGTTAAAAAATACCAGTTTTTTCATAATAATATCGATTCACTCACACTTAAAGGTTTTTAAAATTTTTTTAAATCTTATCCAATTCTAATACTTCTTTCATTGCTAATAGCATAGCCAAATTCCAAAGAAGGAATAAGTTGACAGAAAAATTATAGGAATAACTATTGCCTCTAAGAAAGCTATGGTGTTTACTTGATTACTCATGTGTCCTAGAGAAAGATTTACTTCTCCTAATTATTTTGATATATAAATTATCAAAATAGCTCCTTTTCTATTAAAGCATAGGGAAGATATCCTTTAGTTCACACTTTAATTAGAAGGCAAATGACTCTGGGGTATGTTGAGACCTGCAATTGCCTCTTCTGACCCTGAGGAGTTGTAAACCCATCATTGCAACTGAATTAAGCCGCAAGGACACTACTGAGCACTATGCTGGTCTTGATGTGAAAAGGACTTAATAGCTGTGTTCAGGCTGCTCATAATCTGGTTGAAAACCATGGAGGAGGAGTGTTTACCTAAACTGGGTGCTAACATTTTCAGGAAAAGGTGTCTGTAGCTGAACAGTGAGTACACCCTAGGGAATGGCTGCCACTTTAAAACGTAGTAGGGGATGCTTTCATGGAGAGAAAGAAGAAATACAAAACCTAGTTGAGCCAAAGGGAAATATAATTGGAAGTGCAAGTCTGTCTTGTGGCAGACAGTTTAGTCAGGTGTGCCCATTTCTGCCTCTCTCTGGGCTATCTTTGCCTTTTTCTGGGTTCACTTCTCTGGGGTCTCTTATCTATTATTCTTTTGGCACAACATCTTCAACTTTCTTCTCTGCATAATAATCCATCCACTTTTTGGTGTGTGTGTGTGTAAGAATGTGGCTACTTCAGGCCTCCCAGCAGGTTTCCTTAGTTCAGGCAGCAACAGGTACAGGCTAACATCAATCTCAATTCTAGATAGCTGGAAGAGAGGACTCAGTCAGCTTAATCAGTGCCTCATGGTCAACTTCTGCTCCAGTCCACTGACTAGTGAGAGACAGGATGTAGGGTCCATCCTGAGGGTAGGGAATGGGGAGCTACCTAAAGAGGTATTTCCTGAAGAAACAACTGTCTGCACAAATGATGAGGTGGAGATTTGTTCCTTCCCTCATTCCTTAAGGAAACATCTTCCAATTCCAAAGACCGTAACATTAACCTTATTTTTGAAACTGAACTGGTTTAAAGTTTTCTTGAGAAATTTAACCAGGGAGATTTTCCTCAGTCCCTGGGAAGCTTTTTAATTTTATCTCTCTTTTCTCTCCTCCTCCCTTTCCCTCTCCTCCTCCTCTTCTCTTCTTCCTCCTTTTTTTTTCTTCCTCCTTCTTATGATGTGTGAGTGAGAAGATGCTGTCAAGAACAGCATAAGCTGGTCAAGGGTGAAAACAGATCACAGTTACAAAAGAGATCATCCTTATGTGAAAAGCAAACATCTGCAAGTGGGAAGAGAGGTTAGAAAGTTCAGGGCAAGTTATTGATTTCAGTATCACTTTTTTTGCCAAAGCTCAAAACTGAGGATGTGTTGGCTCCAGAAACAGTTACAGGTTAGATGTTACATTAAGAAGGCTGGGTGGTGGCAGGGGGCTGGAGGACCCTGAATACATACAGTAAATAGTGCAGTGAGCTCCATGCCTACAACAAATGCTCCTGGCCTCTCCAGAAGTTGGGTTTTGGAGGCAGTGTCTTGAAAGAAGGGCATAAACAGAAGTTTATATAATTAAAAAATTTACTTGATGATAAAGATAAGGATAATATAGAAAGATATCTGTATTGGTACTGAGTGTCTCTGTTATCTTAAAGATACATCTTTTTAGAGATCCCTGCATGCAGTCAACTAACATATACTTTCAATACCTAGATTAGTCATTGTGAAAAATGCCTGCCTATAGGACCATCCCTTGGCTTTGCTGGTCTGTTTCATTCCAGAGTGTCCTCTAATCACTTCCATAACATCTACTCCATCCCAGGCTCTCCAACTCTCTGATGGGTCTATTTTTCTATGTTTTCTTTGGCTCAAAGACTAGCTTTCCTCAGCTCTGCTGGCTACCAGAGAGAGGCAGACTGTCTCCCTCTGTGACTCACCTTTTCACTGGGGATCCTAGCAACCCAGGCTGAGGGAGAGCACTTTGTGTCTCCCAATCCCTGGGGAGATGTCGAAGACACTGTGAAGGAAAGATACCAGGAAAGGCTGCAGACATTTATCCAGATGCAGAACCAAGAGCAGGATTCCATTTTTAGTGGGGATACATATAAAGTTGGCCATTGTTCAGCGACCTGGCAGTGTGGCTACACAGGCATTTTAGTCTTGGGCCAGAGATTGGAGCACTCATTCTGGAGTCAGGTAGAGACCTTCACAGTCAGAACTGTGGAAAGCATCTCAGCAGTAGGTGCTGGAATTGTGCTCTTCCCCCATTGCAGGCCTAGGGCAGGAGGAGAACTGCTACAGCTGCAGTTTCTTCTGGGCAGTGAGACTTGCAGCCAAGGTCAGCTTGGTGAACTGGAACTGGTCTGCAGGTGCCATTGTAGAGTGCCTCATCCTGCTCCTCTGAGATTGTGGTGTAGTGGGACCCTCTCTGCTCCATACCCAGGCAGATCTCCAGGCATTTAGAGAACCCATTCACCAGATTCAGCAGCCTGAGCTGCTCAACCCTTCCTGGGCATAGATTCTGGTGCAGTGGGGCTGTATCCACACCATGCTCAGGCTGATCTCTAGGAATTCAGAGCACCTACTTTTTTGGTACAGCAGCTTGAGTTACCTCACTCTTCCTGTACAGAGATCTTAGTGCAGGGGGGTCTCTCATCTTCACACCCAGGCAGGTCTCTGGGGATCTGGAGCACTCATTCTCCTGGATTAGTAGTTTAGGCTGCTCCATCCTTATGGAGAGAACTTGGGGCTGGGGAGGTTTCCCAGCTTCATGGCTAGGCACACTTCTGGGAGCTTAGTGGCCACTGCTGGATTCTCCCTTTGTATAGGTGCTTGCACCTGCCACTGAGGGAGCTGTAAGTGGGCCTACCTGGTCCAGCCCGGACCATGATGTCCCCCTCACCCCTGGGGCTGAGTGTGGAGCACAGACTACTGTGCATTCCATGAATCAGCCCATTGCCTGAGGCGATGGAGAGCTTCTGCCAGTACACAAGGATCAAGTAGATACCTAGCCACATGGGCTGCAGCTGGCTCCCAACTCTATGCATCATTTACTGGCTTGTAGGTCAAACTGCACAGCCCAATGTAAAACCTGCCAAAAGAAGTGTGTAGGGATATAAAAGCAAAGCCACAAAATTCTACCCAGGCTTCTCTGCAATCACACCCTCTGGGGAGAGGGGGAAAGGGAAACAAAACAAAAACCCAATAATATTGTAGGGGAAGAAAGCAAACAAAAAATCTTTCCTGTACAAAAGTAATTACAAAAATTAGAAGTACCACCATCTTCAGATGAGAAGGAAGCAGCACAAAAATTCTGGCACCATGAAAAATCTATAGTGATGCCACCAAAAGATCACAGTAGCTCTCCAGCAATGGTCCCAAAACAAAATGGAAACTGAAAAATGACAGATGAAGAATTCAAAGCGTTGATTGCAAGGAAGCATAGCAAGATACAAAACAAGGTTGAAAATCTACACAAAGAAACTTCTAAAGCAATCCAGGAAATGAAGGAAGAGATAAACATTTTAAAAAGAAATCAATCAGAGCTTCTAGAATTGACAAACTTACTTAAAGAATTTCGAAACACAATTGAAAGTTTTATCAATAGACCAGACCAAGCAGAAGGAAAAATTTCAGAGCTTGAAGACTGACCTTTTGAACTAACCCAGTCAGACAAAAATAAAGAAATAGTCCTATGAACGTCTTAGAACTCATTCTATGAAGCCAATATAACACTGATATCAAAACCTGGCAAAGACCTAACAACAACAAAAACTATAGGCCAATATCCCTAATGAATATAGACACAAAAGTCCTCAACAAAATACTAGCAAGCAGAATCCAGCAGCACATCAAAAAGTTAATTTGCCACAATCAATTGACTTCATTCCTGGGATGCAGGATTGGTTCAACCTATACAAATTTGTAAGTGTGATTCAGCACATAAAACAAAAATAAAAAAATCATATGATCATCTCAATGGATGCAGAAAAGGCTTTTGATAGAATCCAAACATTCCTTCATGATAAAAACCCTCAAGAAACTAGGCATCAAAGGAACATACCTCAAAATAATAACACCCATCTGTCGCAAACCCACAGACAATACCATACTGAATGGGCAAAAACTGGAAGCTTTCCTCATGAGAACTGGAATAAGACAAGCATGCCTACTCACACAATTCCTATTCAACATAATCCTGGAAGTGCTAGCCAGAGCAATTGGGCAAGAGAAAGAAACAAAACACATCCAAATAGGAAAAGAAGTCAAACCATTTATCTTCACTGATAATGTTATTCTATACCTAGAAAACCCCAAAGATTCCACCAAAAGCCTTCTGGAACATATAAATGGCTTCAGTAACTTTCACAATACAAAACCAATGAACAAAAATCAGTAGCATTTCCATATGCCAATAACTTTCAAGCTGAGAGACAAATAAAAAACTCAATCCCACTTACAATAGCCACAAAAAAAATAAAATACTAGGAATACATCTAACCAAAGAGGTAAAAGATCTCTATAAGGAGAACTACAAAATACTGCTAAAAGGAGTCATAGATGATACAAACAAATGGAAAAATATTTCATGCTCATGGAGTGAAAGAATTAATATCATTAAAATGGCCATACTGCCCAAAACAATCTACAAACAATGCTATTCCTATCAAGCTACCAATGTTATTTTTCACAGAACTAGAAAAACTATTTGAAAATTTCACAGAACCAAAAAAGAGCCTGAATCGTCAAAGTAATCCTAAGCAAAAAGAACAAAGCCAGATGCATCACATTATCTGACCTTAAACTATACTATAAGGTTACAGTAATCAAAACAGCATGGTACTGGTACAAAAACAGACACATAGACCTGTGGAATGGAAAAGAGAACCCAGAAATAAAGCCAAATACTTATTACAATCTGACTTTTGACAAAGCCAACAAAAATAAACAATGAGAAAAGGATTACCTAGTCAATAAGTGGTGCTGGGATAGCTGGCCAGCCATATGCAGATGAATAAAACTGGAACTCTACCTTTTACCATATACAAAAATTAACTCAAGATGGATTGAAGATTTAAATGTAAGACCTCAAACTATAAGAATCTAAGAGAAAACCTAGAAACACCATTTTGGACATTGTCCTTAGGAAAGAATTTATGACTAAGTCCTCAAAAGCAATTGCAACAAAAACAAAAATTGATGAGTTGGACCTAATTAAACCAACGAGCTTCTGCACAGCAAAATAAGCTATCAACAGAGTAAACAGGGCAATCAACAGAATGGGAGAAAATATTCACAAGCTACACATCTGACAAAGCTCTAATGTCCAGAATGTATAAGGAACTTAAACAAATAATCAAGCAAATCCCAAATGATTCCACTAAAAAATGGGCAAAAGATGTGAACAGATACTACTCAAAAGAAGAAGAGAAGACATATAATCGGCCAACAAATATATGAAACAATGCTCCACATCGCTAATCATCAAAGACATGCAAATCAAAACCACCATGAGACACCATTTCACACCAGTCAGAATGGCTATTATTAAAAATTCAAAAAAACAACCGATACTGGTGAGTCTGCAGAGAAAAGAGAACACTTACACACTGTTGGTGGGAGTGTAAATTAATTCAGCTGCTGCGCAGTTTGGGGATTTCTCAAGGAACCAAAAACAGAACTGCCATTCAACCCAGCAATCCCATTACTGGGTATATATTCAAAAGAAAACAAATCATTCTACCAAAAAGACACCTGCATTCATATGTTCATCATAGCGCTATTTTCAATAGCAAAGACATGGACTCAATCTAGGTGCCCATCAATGGTGGAATGGATAAAGAAAATATGGTACATATATACCATGGAATACCATACAGCCATAACAAAGAATGAGATCATGTCTTTTGCGGCAACATAAATGGAGCTGGAGGCCATTATCCTAAGTGAATTAATATAGAATCAGAAAACCAAATACCGCATGTTGTCAATAAGTGGGAGCCAAATATGGGGTACTTATAAAGATGGCAACAATAGAAACTGGGGACTACTAGAGGGAAGAGAAGGGCAAGGGTTAAAAAACGAGTGGGTACTATACTTACTTGAGTAATGGGATCATTTGTACCTCGAACCTCAGCATCATGCAATATACACAGGTAACAAACCCACACAGGTACTCCTTAAATCTAAAATAAAAGTTGAAAAATAAAATCAAAAATAAATATTTGTGGAGCAAATTGTCTATCCCCTTACTTAGCAGTTTGTGACCAAAAGGGATTCTTTGGCTATTTTCTCCATCCAAAACTCAAATACAGTGCAAGAGGACTGGATCTGAAGCTAGGTGATGTGTATTTCAGTTTTAGTCCTTTCAATTCACCTTCTAGAAGATGAATCCATCCATTCATTCATTCATTCAAGTCTGTCTGTTGTACATATTCTTTTTCTTCATGTGAAAGAATAATTTTTGGGCTGGAAGATCATGTTGAGATTGAACTTGGATAATGAATGTGGATGTGGTTTCTAAACCAAAGCACCGCCAGATATTTTGAGGATTGAAAAGCACCAGGGAGAATGTGGGTTTTTACATCACAGAGACCTGGGTTTAGGTTGTGACTCTATTATAACCTGCATGAGTGTTCGAAGGCAAGGCTTCTTACTATGTCTTAGTTTCCTCATCAGTAAAATGGGTAATCTTTAGCTCCTGTGGCTAAGGATGGGGTGAAGTAGTATCACCTAGCAGGCATCTATAACATCTTGGTTCCTCACTCTCCTCCTTCTCCTTGACAAAGCTGCAGATTCCTTTCAGCCATAAGTATCTAGTAAATGCCAGCAGTGAATGGCCTTTGGCTTGAGAACACTGTGGACATCAGTGCTTTGGCTACCAGATAACACAGCCTCCTTAACTTACTCCTTAGGGAAGAATTGGATGGAGTAAGTGAGGGGTTGCATCAGTGGATAATTCTGTGCCCAGCCTTGCCTTTCTGTTTTTACCACTTCCCTTCACTCTCCCTATTCTGGAAATGCCGTTAAGCAAATATGGCTCATATGATTAACAGGAATAATACCAGCTGATGTCTGCATGACGTTTTATATTCTTTCAAAAGGGATTCCATAAACATCAAATGTTCCAACAATCCCATTCTATTTATTGCTTACCACATAAGCCAGGTGCTTTGCTGTATGCTGGGGTATAGTGACGAGCAAAATATTAGGGAGAAAATTATATAACACACAAGTATATGTCTGTGTGTGTGCAAATATAACCGCTGGTATAATAGTGATAAGTGCCATAAATCTAACAAATAGGGTGATTAAAAATTAACAAGGCTAATTTGAGGGGACATTATTCACATTGAAGATGTAGACGGATCTCTAAGGAAGTGACATAAACCTAACTCTGAAGCATGAGAAGGAATTAGCAATTTAAAGAGTATTGGGGGAGCATTCCAGGTCTAGCAACCACTATGTATGATGGCATCAAAGCAGGGCAGAATGCCGGGTGTTCAAGGAAACTGAAGGAGACTAGTGTGGCTGGACCATAATGAACAAGAGGAGAGAGGCTCAAGAGGAGGTTGGAGAGGTGAACAGGGGACAGTTTATGCAGGGCTTTGAAGGTCACGGTTAGGAGTTTGGCTTTATCCTATGAGCAATGTGAAACCTTTGGCATGTTTTGGGAAACAGAATGGAATTAAATTTGTGTTTCCAACCAGACGGCTATGAAGTGAACCAGAGACTGTCTATCAGATGCCCTTGGAGCCTAGAGGGAACAGGGCTCTCCTTTCCACTAGGACTAATGGATTGCAAACTCTCCAGTTGCTTTGCTTCTGGTACTTCCTAACACTCCTCTAAACATCTGGCATGTAAGTCCAAACTACTTAGTGCATAAACCATAATTTTGAGTCCCCTTGTGCAAGGATGTTCTCACAATCGTTCCATAAAAAGGGAAGCCACTGTGTCCAGCCATGTCTAGTCCCAACACGCTTTTCCTCAATATGGCAGGAGAATGGGAGACCTGTGCACTTTGTCAGCACTTCTGGCAGTTTCACCTTGCACCAAGTGATGCTTGTAGGTGTTTTCCTGAGCCCTATGCAACACAGTCCCATTGGTGGTTGTGTAGAAAACAGATTGGAGAAAGAGAAGGCAGGCCTTGACCTGTAGAGACTACACAATGATGGCGAGTAAGACATTGGTATGGGCTCAACTGTGTCCTTTCCAAACTCACATTTTGAAGTCCTAACCCCCAGTACCTCAGAATGTGACTGTATTTGGAAGTAGCATCTTTATAGACATGTTTAGGTTAAAATAACTTCTTGCAAGGACACTACTTATATTTGATTAGGGAACCCCTAAGGGTTGAGTCCTAATCAAATATAAGTAGTGTCCTTGCAAGAAAAGGAGATTAGAACCCAGACACACACACACACACCCAGAGGAAAGACCATATGAAGACATAGGGAGGGACAGGGTGGTCATCTACAAGAGTAGAATGGAGGACTTAGAAGAAACCAATTCTGCTGACACCTGGATGTTGGAATTCCAGTCTCTAAACCTGTGAGACAATAAATGTCTGCTGTTTAAGACACTTGGTCTGTGGTATTTTGTTATGGCAGACCTAGCAAACTAATTCAGGGAGCTATGTCAAGTGGATCAAAGGGGAAAAGAGCCAGGAAACTGACAATTGCCATAAAAGATAGGACAAAGACTGAACTCATGTAATGGGACAATCATCCCACCAAATTCTTCCAGTTCTTCTCTTGGGCCTCTGGTAGGACTGCACTTCATCTCTTTGGAGATATTGGTGGTTGAGTGACTTGCCAGTGAAATGTGAGAGAAGGTAACATGTTTTATATCTAGTCAGAAACTCTCCCTTTTCCTCCAGTATATTGATGGGCAGTGTCTCCAATGGTGGCTCCTTTGTTAGCCTGGGTTAAAGAGTAGGGTAATAGGAAACAGAGCTCCCAGAGAACCCGTGATGAATATGTGGTATGGAAGAGAAATGAGCCTTTGTTGGTAAAGCCATTGGGAAATTGGGGTTACTTGTTACCATGGAATAACCTGACCTATCGTAACTGATACACTCATATACTACTGTGTCCCCTCCACCTAGGTTTGGGAAGAAGCAGAAATCTCATGCCAATCAGGGATCTGATTGAGCACTTAACGGCTGAACTCACATAGGAATTGACACTGTCTTCATGCTACTTGCAAACAGTATTTATCCATGTATTATATAATACTGTCTATTTATTACACACCATGTGATGACAAAATTGTGATACACAGTGTTTGTCTGATATTTCAGTTATTTCCACAAGTGCTCAGGTGATAATGGAATAGTCCAAAGTAAGCCCAAACTAGCAGTGTTTGCTGTGTCTCATGATCAGGGAGCATGCATGCAGAAAGACACTTGAACAGGCAGAATAATAAAACTAATATGAAAGGAATATAAAATAGAAATAATTATAAGAAAAAAGAAGATACACAGCCTACTAACCCTAAAGGTCAAACCAGTGAGTTTACTTGAAGGTAACACTTGGTTCTAAGCATCCTGGCTTTCCCAGTGAGGAGGAAAATTAAAAGCATCCTGTAACTCTCTGAAGGAATAGGGCTTTTGACAGCACTGTGTGTGGAAACCAGAGCTGTTGCATTGATCTCTATGCAACTGATTAAGGTTTGTGCCCCAAGGAGAGGATTAACTGAGGGAGGAGGGCACTAGGTTATGCTCAATGCGTTCCCTTGTTTGTAGCACTTAGAACAAGGAAGAGTTCTACATTCAGATCAAACCGATCTTGATTCAAATATGGGCATCCTCACTAACTAGCTATGTGATCCTGGGCCAAATACTTAACCTCAGCAAGCTGTGGTTCCTTTGTCAGATAAGTGAGGACAATCATAGTATTGATATTACAAGGTAACTATGCAGGTAAATGAAATAATCTGTGCAAAACATCTGCATGGTACTGGGCTCAATTTGAGTTGGCTTTTCCCCTCCTTCCCTTCCTCCCTCCCTCCCTGCCTGCCTTACCCTCCCTTTTTCTTTCCTCTCTCCTCCCTTCCCTCCTTTTTTTTTTTTTTTTTTTTAACCTTTTTGACTGGAGAAAGAGACATGTCATTGAGAAAATAGTTCTCAGAACAATGAACAATGGGCCCCTCTTGCTTTGTGACTTGCTCCTCCTTCAGAATCCCCCCTAGCTTTGCTTTTCAAGAGCCTCCATGTTTCTCTCATCCCCTGTAGTATCCCCTGTAGCCATAACATGAGGAAGACTCTCTTCCCAGGGCCTCTTTGATGTGTTTGGTAATATATTATTTAAGATCACTTTGAGTGCATCAACATTCTGGGGTATGTTTATATTCTCTATTTTTAAAGAAAATAATTTATGAAAACTCCCAGTAATGGGCTGGCACAGAGTGGCTCCTCGCTCTGTAGAGCAAGCATTATTATTGTCTTTCTACCGCTTTACCTTACCTTCCGTTACCTTTACCACGATGGCATTTTGCTGCCTTTTCAGGTACAGATGGAAGACAGCCCTAGAACCCTGTGCTACATATTAAAGGGGGAAGCGTTAACAGAGCAGTTATATTAATTTACACAAATGATTACTGGTTTATTTTTTAAAAGCACATTCCTGGAAGCACAGATATGCAATGATTCTATATACTTCTCTCAAATTTAGAATAGAATGGTAAATGACATTAAACAAATTTGCTATTCACCTTCAAGTGCTAATAAAGGAGCAAATCAGAGACATGCACCTACTACATTATTCATGGCAGGCTAACAGCCGCTGCTCCAGCAGCCTGGCGAATCAGAGACCGATGGACATGCGTGGTTCCCATGGGGTTGGCTCCAGCTATTTCATTCCCAAGGATATGGGGTCTGATAAGAGAGATGGGCTAACAGGGTGAATTCAGATGCGCATGACATTTTTGATTTATTCTTTGAATTGTAAAGGTCCTTCGGTCATCACTTTCTAATCTGGCCAGAGGCATTGGAGAAGAGGAAATAGAAAGAATAACCTTTAGGAAACTGGAATATGCAAAAGAGAATCTTCTCTGAAAAACTAAAGAGCTGTGGGAAATAGGTTGGAACATTATTTAATGAGGATCATTCCAAGTAGTGTCTTGTTTTTATTTTGTATCAAATTAATTTGCCTTAAACATCCCTGGATCCTGAGAATTGTAGATGGTGTCTCGTGCTATTGAAATTTGATTTTCATCAAAACTGGATTTTAGAGATCCCCTAGGGTGACAAACTGTTAAAAATACTTTTCTTTTTCCCTTTTCCCTGATGGCTGTGGAAGTGAATTCCCACCCATGGATCAGTGGCCATGCCTTTGTATCTGGTCGTGGAGCATGTTAACTCAAAATAACACAGATTCTAAAATGAAAAACATGGTGTGAGTTTATTTAATCCATTCTCCCTCACATTCTTAATACAAACTGCATGTTCATTATCCATGTATTTATTGAACATTGTAAAATGAATGCCTATCTCTCATGTGCCAGGCAGTATTCTAGGCACATGGATACTTTAGTAAATCAAATAGAAATCTGGCTCTTATAGACTATCTACAGGAGGAGGCAGAAAATAGCTGCAAAATAATGAATTATATGCAATGGTAAAAGGTGTAAATACTATATAAAAGTAAAAATCAGAACAGGAAAAAGAGATGAGGAGTGCCAAGTAAAGAATTTTTAACTTTAAATACTACAGCAGGATAAGCCTCACTGTGAAGATGACCTTCGATCAAGTGCTTGAAAGAGTTTAGGGCATTCGTCACGTGATTATTGAGGGGAAGGGTGTTCCAAGCAGAGGGAATAGGCAGTGTAAAAGCCCCAAGGTAGCTGAGCACTTATCATGTTTTAGAAACAGCAAGAAAGCTAGTGTCCTTGTAAAAGAGTGGGCAAGTGGCAACAAATAGGAGATGCATGAGGAAAGATGAGTGGCCTGAATGGTCGGGGGCTGGGAGATCACGTAGGTTTGTCCATGAAGGATACTGAAAAGACTTGCTTTTACTCCACGTGAAATGGCAAGTTATTGGAGGGGTTTAAGCAGAAGGATTTCACAAAAATCATAACTTTTTCTGCTCTTGGATTGACATCACTTTGCAATGCTTAGATATGTCAACAAATTTATCAGAGTTCAACCACAAACTACATAAAAATGTGCTAATAGTGTCAGAGGAATGCCATTTTCCCCTAAGTAGCAGGTTTTCCCAGTATTACTGGGTGGATATTCATTCATTCACTGTGCAATGAGCACATAACATGGAGTCATTTCCTCTTTTATTTTGCACATTACAGTTGGCTTAGGAATTTTGTGTGAATGTTATTCAGTGTAAGCCTAAAACAAACCAATAAAAACTATATTAAATCCTGCGTTTATTTCACTCCCTCAACCCAAACTCTGGTCTTCTTTAATTGCACAAAGTAATTTTATTGTGAAGCATTAATTTTATGAGATGTGAGTACATAATAGCGAAAAACATAAGTTTTGTAGTCAAATAAATTTGGCAAACTTTGGTTTCTTAGGCTATGGATTATCTTCTGATTTACAACTTTGGCTACATTTCCTAAGTTTTCTGTGTAGTAATTTTTTTCTTGTGACTTATATACATTCTTTCATAGCAAATCTTTATTCTTTAAGAAAATATTGATGTTCAGCTGCCTTTTTTTTTTTTTTTTTTTTACGGAGGTTCTCTCTCTGTTGCCGAGGCTGGAGTGCAGTGGCGTGATTTCGACTCACTGCAACTTCCGCCTCCCGGGTTCAAGTGATTCTCCTGCCTCAGCCTCCTGAGTAGCTGGGATTACAGGCACCCACCACCATGCCTGGCTAATTTTTTTAAATATTTTTTTATTTTCATAGGTTACTGGGGAACAGGTGGTATTCGGTTACATGAGTAAGTTCTTTAGTGGTGATTTGTGAGATTTTGGTGCACCCATTACCTGAGCAGTACACACTGCACAAAATTTGTAGTCTTCATCCCTTACCCTCTTCCCACTCTTTCCCCCTGAATCCCCAAAGTCCATTGTGTCATTCCTATGCCTTCATTTTTGTATTTTTAGTAGCGATGGGGTTTCCCCACGTTGGCCAGGCTGTTCTCGAACTCCTGACCTCCTGTGATCCGTCTGCCTTGGCCTCCCAAAGTGCTGGGATTACAGGCATGAGCCACTGAGCTTGGCTGTGCCTGGGTTTTTTGTTTCCGATTTCATTATTAATTTCTAGCTTTATTTTAACTTATTAGAAATGCAGTTTTGTTATTTCAAATTTTTAGGGTTTGTCTATTTTAATGAAATAATATATCCATTTTTGTGAATATTCTATTTATAATAACTTTTTAAAAGAGGATACATTGAGAATTCCACATCATTTCCAACCAACTCATTTTTATTATCATCGTAACTGGTAAATGAAGTAAGAGAATCAAGCACTTATCCTGTTTCTAAAAAATACGTGAAATGTATGAATGTCAGAGTTTGGTTTGACAGATAAAATTCAGAATGCCTAGATAAGCAACTAACAAATTTTTAGTGTAAGTATGTCCCAAATATTGTACTTAACACTAAACAATTACTTGTGGTTTGTCTGAAACTTAAACAACTAGGCATCCTGTTGGTTTGATAAGTCTGGCAACTCTATTCAGGGTAATGAAGTAGGATTGATGAGGGAGCATTTTCTCCTTATAGAAATGTTACAGTGAAAGAAGGAGTAAACAATGTTACTATAAAAATACCACTCTTCCGTGAATTTTAATGAATAAATTGATCTAGGCAAAGAATATCAGTGGGTGTTAACATCACCAGGATGAGCCAAACATTTTGTACACCCTTGATTCCAGTAGACAGATGATGACCTTGCCAAACACTAAGAGCCTTGTACTTTCACCTCGAAAAGTACATTACCGTGATAAATCCTAGGGCTTACTCGGTATGGAGAATCCAGTAAGAGACACTAGCATCAAGTTGAGCCCAAGAGAGCTACATCCTTAAGGGAAGGATAAATAAGGAAAAAAAAAAAAGGGAAAACCTGATACATAGAAGGAGACATCCAAGGGATTTGACCATCTTGAACTCGTTGACAGAAGAGAGAAAAAAATTCTTCCACTACACACATGATGAAAAAATATGTGATCAGCAAGTCAATCATTAAATGCTTTTTGAAGGAAAGCAAATTCAAAGTGTGCTTCAAGGTGTTCCCATAGACAAAGTTCCAAGAAAGATGAGGAGCTCACAAAAAATATCAGAAAACACACAAGTAAATAAGCCACCATGAGGCAAAGCTAGCAGAAAGAGCACACTCTACAGAATTAGTTAATAGAAATATCAGAGGCGCAAAATAAAATAATGATGTTTAATGTTTAAATAAATGAAAACATGAAAAAGGAACAAAGGTCTATAAAAACAAAATAAGTTTTAGAAATAATAAGATAGAACCTCCAGTATGACAATACAAATAAAATGTCAAAAAACAAAATTGATTAATTACAGAGAAGATTTAACACAACTGAAGAGAGAATTAGTAAACTGGAAGATAATTTCAGTCTTGTCAAGAAGGCAGTCAAAGAAATGTAGAGATTAAGTACATTAAATAGGCATAAAAATATACAGAGGACTATATAAAAGATACACAGCATTTCTAATAAGAGTTACAGAAGGAATTAAGAAAAGGAATGGGAGAAAAATCAATATTCAAAAAGATAATGACTAAATATTTCTCAAAATTGTTCAAAGAAAACAAACTTTAAATTTAGATAGCCCAGTGGAATCTGAGTAGAATAAATGGAGAGGCAATCTTGACCTAAATGTATCATCGTAAAACCACAAAATGCAAAAGTTAAAGAGACTCAACTATCTGTTGTTTATAAAAAACAAAATTCAAATATAAAAACAAAGGTTGTAATTAAAAGCATTAAAATGACAAATAGTGCAAATACTAGTAAAAAGAATACTGATGATAATGACCGCCATTTTCATAATGCTAAAGGGATAAATTCAAGAGGATATATAAATCTAATAGTATATATTTAATATCATTGTTTCAAATTACATAAAGAAAAAGTTGACAGAGAATTGATGAGGGTAGCCTCCATGGTCATACCTGGGGCTGTTCTGCAGGTAGGCTGAGTAAGCACCCTTGACTTTAGCAAATGCACTGACTCTGAAAGTACAGAGACATAGCTGACACTGGAGATGGGATGTTGTCATTGTGTGCAAACCTGTTCAGTACAGGTAGACCTAAAATCAGGAGTGGGCTAAGGAGATATGGAATAGGGTGAAAAGGTATTTGCTTGACTTACTAAAGAAAATACTAATGCATCTTCAATCAGAAGGAAAATAATACCATATGGAAACCTGGAGATGAAAAAAGAATAAAGAGCAAAAGAAAGAATAAATATACAATTATATCTTAATGAAATATTGAGTTTATAAATCAAAGATAATATAATGTCTTGTTAGGGCTACAGTATATACAAACAAAAATATACTACACATATTGGGATAAGAAAAATGGGGTTCAAGTTTCTGGAATTATTAGGATGAAATTAAAATACTAATTTATACTAGACTATAATTAACCAAGAGTATTTTTTGAAATCTCCAGGTAGCTCTTTAAATAGTAGTAAAATAATGTTAAACAAATGAGTTATTAGAGTAGTAGAATAATAAAAACCACTCAATCCAGAAGAGACAGAAAAATGGGAGAAAGTAGTAATATAGAACAGGTAAGACAAATAATAAGAATAAAGTGGTAAATTTAAAATCAAGTGTATCAGTACTTTCCTTAAATGAAAATAGATGAAATATTTCAATTAGAATGCAATATTTTAGGTAGACTAAAACAGGATTATGTGATTATTATAGGAGATACATTAAAATTAAGAATTCAGGAAGTAAAGAGAAAAAATATTTTATGCAAAGCTTAATAATAAGAAAGCTGGTATAACAATGTTAATATCATACAATATAGGATTTAAGGTGAATATTTTTAAAGATCAAGTGATATTTCTTAATAATAAAATCTTAAATTTACCAGGGAGACCTAAATACTCTAAATATGTATGTCTTAATGGCAAAGGTTCAAAATACTTTAAGCATAACTAAGATGATAAAAAATGATTTATAATCATGTTAAGAGATTTTTAACACAGTTCCCTCAGTAATTAACAGAAAAAGCACACAAAAAATTACTAAGCATGAATATTTGGATAACATGATTATCAAATGGAATCTAATTTATACACATAAAATACTGCAACCAATGAACTGCAAAATACATAGTCTTTTCAAGAACAGAGACAATGCTCACCTATTAAAAAATTATTTTGAGCCACAAAACAAGTCTCAACAACCAAGAATTGAAATCTTTTAGAATATTTTATCTTACCACAGTGAAAATAAGCTAAAAATCAACAACAAAAAGAAAATAACTAATGTTTTTGGATTAAAAAATACACTTGAAATAACTTGTGGACCAAAGTGGAAATTAGAAAATATTTTGAATGGAATACTATAAAAATGATAGGATGCAGCCAAATGTTCATAGAGAGGGAAATACATAGCCTTTGCTGAAAATATTTTTAAAAGTCTAAAAATTAATTATCCAATCATCTGTCTCAAGATTGTAGAAAAAGATCTGCAAATTTAATTTTTTAAAATGTAGAAGCATGAAGATCGTAAGACAAAATAATAAAATAGAAAACTAACATACATTAAAGAGAGTCAACAAAGTCAAACATTGGTGCATTAAGAAGACTAACACAATTAATAACTCTGTGACAAGAATGATCAAGAAAAAATAGATAAGGCAAAAACAACCAATGTCAACAATAAAAAGGGAATATTTCTATTACAGATGTTGCAGACATTTAAAGTTCATTAGAAGAAAAACTATTAGATGACATAATTAACTATATTTTAATATATTTGAACATTTTGATTAAATGAGTAAACGTTTTATTTAATTAACTTATTTATTTTTCTTTTTTGAGAAAAGGTCTCGCTGTGTTGTCTAGGCTGGTCTTGACCTCCTGGGCTCAAGTGATCCTCCTGCCTCAGCCTCCCAAAGTGCTGGGATTACAGGTGTGAGCCACTGCACCCAGCCTAAATGAATAAACATATAAAGGGAACATCTGCATTGTCTAATACCCATGGAGAAACTGAATCAGTAATTTCAAATTCTCCCACTGAGAAAATTACAAACCAGAGAGATTCACTGGAATATGTATCAAACATTTATTTGGGAAATGGCTCCAATATCATAGAAAATATTCCAGAAAATAAGAAAAGGGAAAATATTTCCTACCCCATTTAATAAGGCCAACTTAAGCCTGATACCAAATCCTAACAAGAATACCATAATAAAATAAATATTCTAAAAAATTTTTTATTGTTATATTATTTTTATGTAGTTATGCATATTATTTATGCATAGTTCTATATAGTTCATTTTCTCTCACAAACCAGTGCACGAAAATTCGTAAAATATTAACAAAATGAATTCAGTAATATATAAAAGAATATTACTTGAAAACCAGGTTTAGTTAATTCTAGGAATGTTATCATTTGATAACATTCAATGTATAATTTATAATATATACTCTGATGAAGTAATAATGGAAAGGAACTTATTTAATCTGTTAGAAGTTGTCTACAAAAAACTAAGAATCATCATTGTACATAATGTTGAAATGTTGAAAGCTTTCCCCTGAGACTGAGAGACAGGATGGCTCTTTTAGACATTTCAATTCATCATTGGACTCTAGTACCTAGTCAGCTCGATAATAGAAAACAAAACAAAAGTTATAAAGCTTGAAAATAAAAATTAAAACTGTTATTCACAGATGAGATGTATAGACAATCCAAAATAATCTAAATATAAAAATAATTACTAAGGGGATTTTCCGAGGTTGCTAGATACAGATTTGACATACAAGAACCAATTCTGTTTCGAAGTCATCAACAACAAATTAGAAATAAAATGTACTATTTCCATTTAGGATATAATGCATAGTAACATGAAAAATTTCAAATACATATAAACAATCTATCAAACATGCATAACTTTATATAGAAGATATAAAACATCATTAAGATAAAGAAAAATAAATGGAAGAACATGCTATATTAATGAAACTGAAGACTCAGTATTGTAAAGATATTATTTCTCCCTAACCCAGTCTAAAGATTTAATATAAACTGTATTGAAATCCCAACAGACTGATTTTTTTCATATGAAACTTGGCAAGTTGACTTTAAAAGTTATATAAAACTGAAAAGTGCCAAGAATAGCAAAGATTCCACAAAATCTGAAGACTTACTTTACTGAACATCAGAAATCATTAGAAGCTATAGTAATTAAGACAATACGTTATAACTGTAAGGATAGACAAAAAGAACAACCAAACAGAATAGATTGGATTTTAGATGATAATAGATAGTTGTTGTTAATTTTCTCAAGTGTTTTTGTAGACGTTAGTGCTATCTTCCAATTATTTCTGGCTCTCTTCTTGGGCACATGGTGGGTAGTATTTCACTTTCCTATCTATTAGGTGTGGCCCATATGACTTGCTTTGATCATTGAAGTGCAAACATAAGTGATACATATTTCCGGAGCCATGCTTTAAGAATCAAGACCTGATTTGTCAGTCCTGTTGAAGGAATAACTAGTACTTAGAAATGAGACACCACCATCACAGAAATCTAAAATTTGAGGTATTGGCACCGTGACTATTTGGCTGTTCACAAAAAAACAAAAACAAACAAACAAAACCCAACAACAACTGTATTTGAAGCTTGAAAGATGATGAGCTAGGCAATGGTGAAAGTTTGCTGAAATTGTTGCCCTTGATAACTTGAAGACAAATCACATAACAGAATTGTAGCTGTAGCAGAAGAGGTTGGGTGCTGTTGACTGCTTTTGAGTTATTATGAGAAGGGATGAGCTTAGGAAAAAGTGGCCAGTATACAAGCAAGAATAAAATGGAACAGAGATATTTCAGAGCTTTATGGGGCAGTAAGAAGTGAATTTTTAAGCCTCATATGGTAAAAGATAAGACATAGAGTCAAAAGTGGCCAATTAAAACTCAACCTGTTAACAAGAGACAAATCAGTGACTAAGGTTTAATAAGAGTAAAAATTCAATGAAGAGGTGGTGTGCACTTTAACCTTCTATCTAGACAAAATGTCTCAATAGTAAATGTGTGACTTCCTCATTAAAGTCTTGTAAATTTGTGGTACTTTGCATTAGATGAGGGCAAGGACTGGTGGTGAAAAAAATAGAACGAACATTAAAATATGTATAAAGAAGAACTATGGGTGTGAATGTTGTCACATGGAATTGACTAGAGTCAGAATCAGTAGATTCAACACTAGTATTTCTATAAGTGAATTACATTCTTATGATGTGGACTAAGATGTTGGATTATTTGATATTGAAAACAGGCCTTGAATGCCTAGATCCTTTGATTAGAAAGCTGACTGAGGAAGATGCTTAACCCCTGGGAGGGCTGAGTTTCCAATGCCTACTTAGGATGTTGTTATGGAAGATAATAGAAAAGGGAAAATTTCTCAGAAGAGCGGAAGACCAAGAAAAGCAAGAGACTGGAGAGTCCCTCCCAGAGAGAAGAACGGGCAAATCCTAGGAACATCCACAACCCCTCACCAAGGCTCAACGTAACAGGTGCTCAATCTGACAGCAGAATTAGTTCTGCTGTGTGTCTCTCACTCTTCCCTTTCTGAATAGGGTTGCTTATTGTGGTCATCCTGTCCTTAGCCTTCTGAGCCATGGGAATGTATATTATATATGGCAAATTCTTAAGAACATGAGCGTTTGGATCAGATAAATGTGGATTAGAAATTGGGCTCATCCACTTATCTGTGTCATTTTGCACAAAGTAATTAAATTATCTGAAATCTGGTTTTCTCATCTGTACAATGTAACTTAAAAAATAACCTATTTCACAGAAGCAAATGAATATTGTACATAAAATCTTAAGCCCAGAGTCTGACATATAATCAGTGTTCCAAAAAAAGAGCAGGAGCTGCTATTTTAATTCTTAAATGATGCTATTCCCAGTTATATTTTCTTCTAGAAATGTATTATCCATCTTGCTTATTTTTAAATCCAGCAAAGTGATGGAGCTAAGCCGTCAGCTTATATTTTGGACCAAGAACCAGTCTCTTTAGACGAGGTTGGGTCAAGCCATAACGCATTCTAAGAAACACTAGAATTTCACATTCTGCAGAAAGGATCTATCAGAATTATGTTTTGGTTTGTTTTGTTTTGTTTTCCAAATGCTGGCATCATTCCTTACTCTGCTCCACTTGTGTATCTCTGCCTTAGTAGAAGAGTTGCAAACAGTTTTTAGGATGTCATGCTTTGCTGTTTTTGTAAGTACAAGTAAACGTGCATAAAGTTGCCTGCGACATTAATCATTTATTTAATCCCAATATTGATACTTTTTTTCATGTTTCCCTGGGCTGCAAAAAGATAACCTAATCTAGCATAACATGCTGGCTAAGTGGGTTGAAGAATAGGAGATTTAGAAAGCTGAAGGCCGGGCGCGGTGGCTCAGGCCCGTAATCCCAGCACTTTGGGAGGCCGAGGTGGGCGGATCACGAGGTCAGGAGATCGAGATCATCCTGGCTAACGCGGTGAAACCCCCTCTTTACTAAAAATACAAAAAATTAGCCGGGCATGGTGGCATGCGCCTGTAGTCCCAGCTACTCAGGAGGCTGAGGCAGGAGAATGGCGTGAACCCGGGAGGCGGAGCTTGCAGTGAGCCAAGATTGCGCCACTGCACTCCAGCCTGGGCGACAAAGCGAGACTCCGTCTCAAAAAGAAAAAAAGAAAAAACAGCTGACTGCATGTGCTCTTCATTTACTGGCTTGAGGAAAATCTTGTGTGGGGGGAAGGGGTGTAAGTCAGTAAGGGTTGAGGAAAGGGCAAATGCTGGCCAAGGAAATGCAACATCTAATAGG
This sequence comes from Homo sapiens, assembly GCF_000001405.40. Taxonomy (NCBI): domain Eukaryota; kingdom Metazoa; phylum Chordata; class Mammalia; order Primates; family Hominidae; genus Homo; species Homo sapiens. The sequence goes on from NC_000015.10 coordinate 93,702,992, forward strand.
AGTTTGGGCTCAATACCTTGGAAGCCATTGCCACCACCTGATGATTTTGAAGTGAGATGAAAGAAATGGAAATGTGCAAGTCAAAATCCAGTGTATCATAAACCTTAGGTTTTTGTACAATTTGCAGTACTTCCTTTCATTTTCATCTATTATGGTGGAAAAGGTGAGAAAAATGAAGAAGCTAATTACATACGTTAAAAAGTTAAGAACTGAGAAAAGCTAATAGCAGGCTTCTGTCTTGAATCTTGTCAGTTTCTTCTGCTCTCCAAATTGGATGTGGTTACAAAGAAGTGGTTTGTCTTCAAGTCAGAACGTTCTACAGGTGAAAGGAGACTTATATAATTAGTATGCTCTCTGCAGTAGCTAACTCAGAAAGAAAAAAAATGGGTTTAAAATTATGCCTTTGAGGCCCTGGCTTGGGTTTTTCATAATTGGATACAAATACAGGACCCTGGAAGGGAATTACTGAGAGATTTATTACAGGATTATCTAATCATAGATTTTAAATGGCAGACTTCTGTGAGTGCCAAGAAACCACAGGATTTTAAAGCATAGCTGTGGTTACAGAAGAATGAGCTACCACCTGAATGTCTGTATCTGGTTATCAGAAGGCTAGGTTTGTTTATTTAGTCATGGATCCATCCACTCTTTTATTAGGACATCACATAGCACCTGCTGTGTGTTAGACAGTGTTGTGGGTTGATAGTTAAAGAACCCTTGGTCCTTGAGAATGTGATCTCATTTAGAAATAGGGTCTTTGAAAATGTAATTGAGATGTAAGGTAAGGTGAGGTTGTACTGGTATAGGGTCGGCCCTTAATGCGATATAACTGGTGACCTGATAAGAAAAGGAGAAGCACTCTTGGACCAGACAACCAGAGAGGAAAACGCCATGTGAAGACACAGGCACAAAGAGGGAAGAACACCTTGCGAAAACATAGGCAGAGGTTGGAGTTATGCAGCTGGAAGTTAAGAAATGCCAAGGATTGGCCAGGCGTGGTGGCTCACGCCTGTAATCCCAGCAATTTGGGAGGCAGAAGCCGGTGGATCACCTGAGGTCAGGAGTTTGAGACCAGCCTGACGAACACAGTGAAATCCTGTCTCTACTAAAAATACAAAAATAAGCCGTGTGTGGTGGTGCATGCCTGTAATCCCAGCTACTCAGGAGGCAGAGGCGGAAGAATCACTTTGACCTGGGAGGCAGTGAGCCAAGATCAAGCCATTGCACTCCAGCCTGGGCAACAGAGTGAGACTGTCGCGAAAAAAAGAAAAGAAAAGAAAAAAAGGCTGGGTGTGGTGGCTCACGCCTGTAATCCCAGCACTTTGGGAGGCCGAGGCGGGCAGATCACGAGGTCAGGAGATCGAGACCATCTTGGCTAACAAGGTGAAACCCTGTCTCTACTAAAAATACAAAAAATTAGCTGGGCGTGGTGGCGGGCACCTGGAGTCCCAGCTACTCGAGAGGCTGAGGCAGGAGAATGGTGTGAACCCGGGAGGCAGAGGTTGCAGTGAGCCGAGATTGCGCCACTGCACTCCAGCCTAAAGTGTGACTCCATCTAAAAAAGAAAGAAAGAAAGAAATGCCAAGGATTGCCTGCAACGCCATAAAACAGAAAGAGCCATAGAAATATTCTTTCCCAAGACTTCAGAAATATGGTCCTGCCGACATCATGGTTTTAGACTTGAGACTTGAACTATGAGACAATAAATTTCTGTTGTTTCAAGCCATCCAGTTTGTGGTACGTTGTTACAGCAGTCCTAGAAAACTAATAGAGACGGTATGCAGGGTGCTGGCTGTACTGAGATGAACACATTTCCATCCCTGTTCTTCAGTAGCTCCCAACCAAGTGGTCAGAGGCATAGATGTGAGGCAGAATTTACATATCTAAAGTAAGGCCGGGTGCGGTGGCTCACGCCTGTAATCCCAGGACTTTGGGAGGCCGAGGTGGGTGGATCATGAGGTCAGGAGATCGAGACCATCCTGGCTAACACGGTGAAACCCCGTCTCTACTAAAAAACACACAAAAAATGAGCTGGGCGTGATGGCGAGCGCCTGTAGTCCCAGCTACTAGGGAGGCTGAGGCAGGAGAATGGCATGAACCTGGGAGGCGGAGCTTGCAGTGAGCCGAGTTCGCACCACTACATTCCAGCCTGGGAGACAGAGCGACTCCGTCTCAAAAAAAAAAAAAAAAAAAAAAAAAAAAATCTAAGAGTTTTATGGAGATACTAACTTGGTGTTAGGGAGCCCCAAAAGAGGGGCATACGAAAGCTTTTCAGAAGAGATGCTTTTTGCGTGCACTTCAAAGGATGGTTAAAAATTTGCCAGACAGATGACAGGATATTATGTAGTTGCTTCAGAAGTGAAAATTCTGTGCTGGAGAGAGATGATGGTCAAGAGAAAGCGATTAGAAAATAGTCCCTACTTTGCATGTGATAGCCTTGAGTAGCAATTAAAGTGAGTGTTTTCTCATCTTTGACAAAGACGTTAGCAAAGATGATGATGAAGATAATGATAATGATGATGAAGGTATCTTTTGCCATTTTACTCAAGCAGCTACTCTTAAATTGGACATTTTCTTCTTTAATTCTCTCAGCAAGTCTGCTTAGGAACTATTACCATCTGCATTATGCAAATGAGAAAACTAACTCTCGAAGAGTTTAAATAACTCTCCTAAAGGCTCCACATCTAGTAAGCAGAAGCAATTTATGATATGCCCTTCACCTCTGTGGTGTGTGTCTTTTTAAAATCATAAGCTAAAAAAAAAAAAAAATCACAGTCCCCTGAGGTTCTGCTCTTCTAGAGTTGATGGTAGATTTCACTTTGCACGTGAATCATCTCAGCCTTTGAAATTAAGTTCTGCTGTGGGGGCCCTCTCCACAGTCACCTCTAAGACTGCATTTATTCATTTATATTTATTCCTTCAACACATGTGCCAGGCACTATGCTAGGTGCTGTGTGTCAGATGACACTGTATATCCTGTTTCCTTTACGACAGTAGGCCTTTGACAGATTTCTGTTTTCTCCTGTGGGGCAGACCAGCGCTGTCTTTGAATTCTGCTTTTTAAAATGCACTGGATGTCAACCAGATTTAACCAGATGGGCTTCTCCACCTAAAAGTTATCAGACAGCTGCATGAAATAAAGCACACTCATTGATCTGTGAATATGCTGGACGTTTCTTTTGTTTTCTAATTTGCTTAGCACTTACGTGGATATTGGTAACTTACATATGTCTTAGGGATTCAGATACCTTCCTGAGAATGTCTAGTCATACATAAGTCTGTAAAGTGTTTAACAACAACAACATCAACATCCCTTTAGCTCTTCCAGATTTCAAAAGGTTAAAATGTAATTGACACACAGTCCCAGCCAAGCAGAGGCTCAGGAGACACGAGGATAAAATGTAGTGCGGACTGTGTGTGAGATCCTGGGAAAGAAAAGAATCTTCAGTAAAAAATGAAGGAAATCTGGAAAAAATATGGACTTTAGATCATTATAATATATACATATTGTTTCATTTATTGTGACAAATGTACCACCCTAATGTAAATATAAAAGGACTCTGCGAAGGGCTCAGAGATGGGTCCTGTGAAGTGGTAGAGGGAGAGTGTGGGGGAAAGTGCAGCATCGCTGGCTGCTGACCAAATGTAACCTCGCAGATGAGAAATGGAGCTTGCATTTAGTAGATCTTCTCGGCAACCCTACCCACACACGTCTCTGGCTCTCCTGCATCGCCCTTGAAGCTTAAAGTCCAACAGTAATTTGCAATTTGTGCTCACTTAGGTTTGGACACTGGGGTGAGAGTGGGATTGGATATCAGATGGATAATAAGGGAAGCTGGGTGTAGGCTATGTGAGAACTCTGTATCCTCTTTGTAATTTTTCTACAAATGTAAAACTATTCTAAAATTAAGAAAAAATTAAACATAATTGACATAATAGCTATTTACATTTTTCTCTGGGTGATTCACTCTCTGTCCCTTAATTTGAATTCTTGTTGACTTTTTCAGGCATTTTTCTGTGATTTAGGAGGAGCTGCGTGTGCTGGCTTCAGGCATTTTGGGTTGAAAAGCTGAATTCTTGTCCTGTGGTATTTCTGTCAAATGTGAGAAATTGATAGATAGGAACATATGAGGAAGAACCCTGCCCAGGACTCTCCCAAGAAAAGGTGAAAAGTATGTAAGATTCCTGCCAAGAAGCCTTGAGGAAAATTCCTCCCTGAACTGAAATTTATTGACCAAGGAAACTCAATCTCCATCTCAATCCACTTTAAGATTTTAAGATAATCTCAAAAGCAATATTGCACAGCGTGTATATCACCGTGTTCCCTAAAAGTACTTTCAGAGTGAAATTGTCAGAGGGGAAACTTTTAACTATTGCTTTTTCAAGTGAAAATTATTCTTATTTTTTCCATTGGATAACAATAAGTCCTCATTTTAGAAAACATAAAATTGACAGCATTTGGAAAAGAATAATTAGTGCTTTTGTTAACCCAGAGATAAAACTGCTAACGTTGTGGGGCATTCCTTTCAGTTTGAGAAAGTCTTGCTTTATAGAATTCTTGGTTCATTTATTGAAAAATATAAATTCTGAAAGCATTTTCTAAAACAAGTCATCTTGTCTCCAGGGATTCTGTTTTTCTTCAAATTTGTTTTTTTAACCAAACTTGAGAAAGTTTGGGATTTTTGGTAAGCATGAAAATGTCTTTAGTTCTAGCCCGCTGGCAGTGTGCGGAACCCAGCACAGTCTCTCCATTCCCTCACCTCCTTTTCTGCCCCAGCTGACTGTGCTCTGTAGAGGCCTCATGGAGGAGCAAAGGACTCTGGCAAGGGCTCAGAGATGGGTCCTGTGAAATGTTAGAGGGAGAGTGTGGGGGAAAGCGTCGCTGGATGCTGGCCAGATGTAACCTGGCAGATGAGAAATGGAGTTTGCATTTAGTAGATCTTCTCGGCAACCCCACCCACCCACATCTCTGGCTCTCCTGCATCCCCCTTTGAAGCTTAAAGTCCAACAATCATTTGCAATTTGTGCTCACTTAGGTTTTGGACACTGGGATGAGAGTGGGATTGGATATCAGATGACAAGATGATGGAGGAGGCAGCATGAAACCCCCGGGAAAACAACAAGGGCTTTCCCACAGCTGCGTCTGAATCCTTAGTATCTGTGCATTGTTGCATAAATTATATAACTTTGCTATACTTCAAGTTTTAATTTGTAATACAAAGATTAAAATATCCATCTCATGGAACTGTTGTATGTGTAAAGTTGAGATACTATGTGGAGGACCTGGCATATTCATTGGCACATGCTTGCTGCGTAATAAATGCCAGTTCTATTATATTCACTTTGCTTATCTTACCTGTATTTCCCTTGGTTTTGGTCCAAACTTCACTTACCTGCACAGCTTTCCTGATACCTTTTGTTGAAGTTACAAAAATAAGGAAGAAAATTCTACTTTAAGTACCATTTGAGAGGACATTTGTTGGTGTTTGCTTTTTGGTTTTTTGATTTTTGGTCTTTGGTTACTTTATTTTCAGCCTGTTTAGAGATTTAATGTTTTAATTATTTTCTGTTGTAAAGACTGAAAATAACTCCCCAAGCGTTCAGCTGTTATAAGTCCCAAGCTGGACGGTTTAGTGGAGAAAAGTCAATCTGTTTTGCAATTTGACCTTGTGTAGATACAGCAAATCATCTGATTTATTGGCTCTTTCTTTCACAAGCTGCGCATCTTGATGCAGTGTTATGTTACTTTGTTTTCACCCTGTTCACCAGAAAAAAAGAAAAAAAGAAAGTCATCGTGGAATGAAAAAGAGGGATCTGATATTTTCTCAAAGTCAAGGACAGTATCCCTGAATTTAAAACAGCTCTCAGGTGCAGTTGCGCATGGCTGGCTGTTGTTCTTGCCCAAAGTTCCATAGTCATTCATGCTGGTCATGCTATCAAGCCTGAACCTAGCTTTCACAGTGAAAGATAGCCCGTGCCCTTGGGCCTCTCCCGAGTCTGCTTGAAGTGTGACCTACATCACATTAAAAGCCAGTTTGTGCCCAGGACTACATCATCCCACAAGAGGTCTGCAGGCTAAGGGCAAGAAGCCATGAAACTTTTCTTTTAAGCAATGGGCTTTACCACCTCATAGTGTTTACATTTTTAATAGGTGATGAGAGAATTTGCAATAGTCTGTGTACATCTTGACCCAAAGATGGAATGATTTGAAGAGACCCTGACCTTATATGAATAGTTGCTGTTCATGCCCCTGTACCTATTCATCACTGGAGAAGTCTGAGCTCATGTCTACTTTTTAATACACAAAGAGTCCATAAATTCAACAACGGTCCAACCATTCTTCTAGATCATTAAATTATATAGTGAGATTTTATCATACAAGTCTTGGCCTTCGAAATTCATCATTTTGAAGAAAGATTGTGGTTATATGTAGCTGTAAAATTATTCCCATATAAATATTCTACTTGGAAAGAAATGCAATATTCACTCTAACAGAAAACAGTGACAAACAGAATTAACTTTCTATTGTTTGACATGTGACAATGATCTTATCTTTCATTGTGAGAATAAAGGTAAAGGCTTCCTATTAATTAAAGGTTAGCAAGTATATTGCAGAAGCTTGAAGCTGAATTGCTAAATGGCTGATAAAATTATTAGTTAGGGAACCACAAAAGGTATCTTATTTTTGCCTGATGCCAAGGTGCTGCAAAAGCTTTTGCACAGCAAAGGAAAAGTCACAGATTTTAAAAGCACCGTAAAGGTGGACATAAATATGAAATGAAATCCTTGCATTGTTTTAGTTTTACTCCAGCAATTTATTGTCAGCTTGTCCTTTAAATGTGCTGCAAGATTTCACAATCATAAAAATCCTGAGTTCCAGAACAGACTAGAGTGGTCATACAGGTTGGCTTCACAGGTCTAGACAAGACTGGCCTGAAACTGTCTCAACACCCTAAGAACTCAAGGATAGAGAATCAACTTTGTCCCCTGGTATACCTGATTACTAGCTAGAAAATTTTTAAAGAGTGAGTCTTATCCCACAGCATAAAACCATTTTATGTATTTTAATTGTTCATTGTGGAGATGGAGCATGGCTTACACTGGATTAATCAAGTGACCTATAATATGCTGAGTGTTCTGCTGTCTGTGGGTATTAACAGATTTAACTGGACCAGAAAAAAATAAAGGTTATACCTGGTTGGCTAAAAATATTTGGAGCTCAAATTGCTTTGCATGGCATTCAAGATTCTTCAGAATCGGGCTCCAATTTACAAGGCTTCCGCTACATAAATTGTTCCCCATTCTCTGATGATGTTATGTACTTTTTCATCTCTGAATCATTATTTTACGTGCCCTGCTCTCTATGCCCTTCCCTCCCCATTAGCTGATGAATTCCTCTTCATTTGTCAAACTTCAAGTCACAAGTCACCTTGCCTTAGCAGCCTTCTTCAATTTTGCCATCCACTCCCCTGGCCTGGGAGAAGATATGACTCCCTTTATCTTCCAATGCACATTACCCAGTATCTACTCTCATCTCTCTACTCTCAAAGTACTTTGTTTAGAAGATATACTCCTTGAGTACAAGGTCCTTCTCTGTTTTCATCACTGCTCCAATTTAAAGGCCAAACAAAACACCTAACGACATGTAACAGGCACTTAATAAATGCTAGCCACATCATTCACATGGGTATTATTCTACCTATGTACAATATCTAGCGTATCTATTTCTAATACTGTGAACAATGGAGGCAGTTACCATTTTATGTTCATCTTTTTATTTCTGCAATATCTATCATCTCATTGTTGAACGAAAAGAATAAGTTTACTTGTGAGGCACCGTGTAAGCATGTTCTTTAAGAAACTTTTGGAAATAAAAAAGTAATCCCAGCACTGCGAAGGTTTTGAATAATGGAGAGCTGTCTGATGGATACAGAGTCTCATCTTGGGGATGCATTGCAAGGACTGACATTTCCTGAGTGTGTCTCTGGTCTCTATTCTGTCCCTTTTCCTCTTTTTCCCCTTCTAGACAGTAAATCCCACTTCTACCTCTTTAGGTCAGACTGACACTCTGTGTTTCATATCTTTATTTCCAGTTGCCATCTCAATATTTCCATTTTTATTTTCTACCGCTATGTCAATCACAATGCATCTAAAATCAAACTCATAGTTACCATCCTGAAATCTCAGCATTCCATACCTCAGTAAATAAAGCCCCCTTGAGTCTTTGCTTTCTCACAGATCCCATATCCAATCAACCACAGAGTTCTGTTCTACCAACTAAACATCTTATTGCCTAAAGATTTCTTGCAAGTATTCACTCCTCCTCTCTAGCCTCACTGTCATTGTCCTTTGTCTTGGTACAAGCCACAATGATCTTTTGCCTGAATAACAGCCACAGTCTCTCCAATTGGTTTTGTTCCAGTTCAATTCCAGAAATTCTTTGCATTGAAATAAAAATTACCTACCTTAAAAACTGAAATCTGATACATCATCTCCTGACTTGAAAACCTTGAGTGGCTTTCCATTGCTTTTCAGATGATCTCTAAGTCCCTCGGCACGGTTACTAGTCCTTGCATTATATAGTCTGTCTGCCTTTGCACCTCATTCTCTCCCACTCAATTTGCTCCAGGATCTGGCCCACTGGGATAGCTTCAGGGCTAGAATATGCAGTGCTCTCTATGGACCTTGCACTGAGTGGAACATACTTCCATGATTACCCTGTACCTTGTCATGTAACTGCTACTAACTTCAAATCTTTGGATCTCATGTTAAGCACCTTCAGTATGGTACTCTCTGACCTCCAATGCTTGATTAGGCCTCCTGGTAATATGTTCTCAAAGCACCTTTTTCTTTCATATCCTATCAACCATCATATGTTACTGTCAGTATGCAACTTTCTGTCTTCTCTTCTAGACTGTCAGATCCATGAGAGAAGAGATTGTATTAGTTTTCTATTGCTACTGAAACATATTATCGTTGACTTGGTAGCTTAAGCAACAGAAATTTGTTCTTCCATAGCTCTAAAGGCTGGAAGTCCAAAATCAGTATCACCAGGTTGAAATCAAAGTATCAGTAGGGCTGCACCTCATTCAGGGGTTTAGGGGAGAATACTTGTCTTACCTCTTCTCGCTTCTTTTGGCTGCAAGCTTTCCTTGGTTTGTGGCTGCATCATTCTGATCCTCAAGGCCAGCATCTTCAAATCTTTCTCCGTTCTGTCTTCATGTTACCTTTTTTTTTCTCTGTGTCAGATCTCCCTCAGCCTCTTTCTTATCAGGCAACATGTGATTACAGAGTAAGCTCCACATGTCAGTATTTTTAATTTAATTACATCTGCAAAGTCTCCTTTTTCATGTAAAGTAGCATTGGCAGGTTCCAGAGATTGGGACCCGATGTAACTGGGGACCACTATCCAGCCCACCACACTGCTGAGTTCCTGACTTTTGTCTTAGGGTCTGACTTAGACGTGTGTGTGTGTTCTATGATTTTATGTGTCATTTCATCTAAAACTTTTAAATATATGTAACATTAAATATTTTTATTGATTGGCTTCAGTGTGCCCTTTGTTGTAGATACATTTACTTCAGGTACTCAGGCTAAAAACTCAGATATCTTGCCTTTCCCCTGTCACTGGGAACAGGTCCAACATCTTGTAACTCTGTGAGTTACAAGTTAGGTTCAGCTGACTCCACAACTCAGCCTAATTTCTTAGGGATCAAGCCCTCTTGGAAATGGTAGAAGCAGAATGGAGCTTAATAATAATAATAATAATAATAATAATAATAATAATAATATACTAGTGCAAGATAAAGCTTCATTACCTTGGCTGAAAGGCAAGATAAGGATAATTTTCCAGGGATATAGTAAAGCAAATAGCAGTCTATTTGGTGAAAAGGAGTTGGGGATATGAGGTAAGAGCCATTACCAGCTTCATGAAATGATAATATTGATGTAGGTGAGCTTTAGTTTTTATCCCAACAATAAAATAAAAAATTCTATCAAGCATATGTTTCTATTCAATACTATTTTTATTGCAGGAAATATAAGGCTTTTTATGGGGCCATAGTCCTCTCCTTTTAGGCTATGAATACTACATCATCTTTCCTTCTCTCTTATCTTGGGGAGGCTAACAACCGTATCGCTTTCATCATGTGGATCCCAGATCTTCTGATGCCCGGCTGGAATCCCTCTCATCGAGATTGGATCAACAGTTATTGAATTTGATGCATCAAAGTCTCATATTTAATCTTATTTTATTACCACAATAAACCTTTGAGGAAGATATTCTTATTCATCCCATTTTAACAAGAGTCTGTTCGAGTTCATATCTGATAGGTGCATAAGCAGTAGTTTAAGATTTCAGTAACTTGAAAGCTAGACATCTGCACTTATTTCAAATTCCTCAGGTTTGGTAGCTAGGAGAGGAAATGCTATCCGTTGAGCAATCAGTTGATATCATATACCATGCTGAGGACACAGCAGTCCTCGGGACAGTCACACAACCCACATTTTATACCATTGTTTGGGGCTGATGAGAAAATAGGTTTAGAGGACTTTCCCTGAAAACTCAGAGGGAGTAAGTGGCAGAAGTGGGTCATGAACTGAGGGCCGTGTCTTTAAAAATACCAGCCATTTCCTTCTACTGTGTTGCCCTCAATTTAAAAGTTGCAATTTTTGAAATAAGCTAGAAACAGAAGGACAAACACTGTATGATTCTACTGCGTGAGGTACCTATGAGTAGTCAAATTCATAGAGACAGAAAACAGAAGGCTGGTTGCTGGGGGCTGGGGAGACAGGGAGAGGTGGCTATTGTTTAATAGTTGCAGAGTTTCAGTTGGACAAGATGAAAATATTCTGGAGATGGGTGTTGGTGATAGTTGCACAACAGCATGGATGTACTTCATGCTACTGAATTGTACACTTAAAGATGGTTGAAATGGTAAATTTCATATTCTATTTTACTGCAATGAACAAATGTGATTTTTTCTATATAGGTTCACTAGTAAAGTGAGAGATT